>NC_000007.14:151276561-151428076 GCF_000001405.40 Homo sapiens | reverse complement strand
AAAAAATTAACTCCTTGTTGCTGAGGTGCTCAGGACTGTTGGGGGCAATGTGGGAATGAAGGCCCTCGCTGGATCCCAGGGAACCCTGTGGGTCTCCTGTGCGACCATGCCCCACATTCCCTACCTGAAGAAGCTATCACCTGCTTATTGATTGCGTGGGTCCCATCGGCTTGGCAGGGCTCTTGGCTGTGGCTGCTGGGGAGGCTGAGATGCAGGAGGAGGAAGAGGAGGAGGAGGAGAAGGTCCTTGTCCTTCAGCAGGGATCCCTGGAGCGTCCCTGTGGTTACCTGGGACTAACCCTGCCTTCCGGACCCCCAGGACTTAGTAGCCCAGGTCTGGGGACACCAGGAAGGGGTGACTTGGGCAGCCTGCCCTGAACAGCGAGCATTTGTGTGAACAGGCTCCTGGCTTCCTTGCCTGTGGACAGCCCGCTTTGGAATTGTGATTTAAAAGGATCCTGTGGAACCCAGCTGGCGTGGGCTGTGCATGGAGGGGTGGAAGCCCTGGACCCAGCCTTGCTGGGGCTGGGGGATGGACTGGGCAGGTCAGTGCTGGTAACGCTAGTCCTGGTCCATGCCTGCCCTGGGACCCCCAGGACTGCCCTCCCTGGGTAGGGGCAGGGGCAGGGGCAGAGGATACGGCTGGGCTGAGGGTGCGCATTCTCATCCCGAAGAGGGCTCAGCGATGTGTAGGATTGCTCTGGCTAGGGGGCTGAGCAGGTTATAAGGACCCTCTCCACGAACCCTGCCTGGCCCCCAACACCAAGAGCGGGAGTTCTCACCAGTTGGGCTGGATCGTTCCGCGGGCTGAGATGGTCGTGCCCTGGGTTCCATTCCCGTAAAGTGTTCATTTCTAGGTGCCAGGCACAGGGAGCAGGGCGGCATGTCCCCCGCACAGTGTGCCCAGCCTAAGCACCAGCCCTGGCATTCCTAAACTGCACAGACAGACATGCGGGCAGTAGAAATGGGCGCTCCCACCCAGTGGGGCTGCTGGGTAGAAGTCCCTTCATGGGGCTGGTGATGGCCGAGGTGGTGTCACCTCTACACACAGAGGGGACGCTCAAGTGTTGCTTTATCCTTGGAGGCACTGGGCCCAAGGCCAGGGGAGGAGCCCATTGTGATAAAAACGCAGATACAAAAAGTAGGGGAAGAAATCTTTGCGGCAGAGGGGACTTAGAAAAATGTTGTAGAAAAAAGCGAGGCATCCATAATATTCTCCCCGCCACAAGTCCTGTGCTGTCTGCTAGAGAGGAACTGCTAATTGGGCCAAAGCAAGCAGGGAAACAGGATCAGCTCCATCATTCGCTCAGTCCCAAAGATGAAAGGAAGCTAGTTTTCCGGAAGAAGCCCAGCAATTCCTGGGACCGAGGCCAGAGAGAAGTTTCTTCCACGGGTCCGCTGGCCCCATGCCGATGACTCACAAGCTGCACCCTCAACGTTAGCCCTCCTGCGGGGAAATTAACAGGTTTCCTAGGATTTTCTGTAATAGCATCCCACAGGATTCGGTGGACGGCACTGTGCCAAAGTCAACTTTTTGTGGGGGAGGAGATTTTAACATTTCTGGTTTACGTATGAGTATATTGCTACTTTTAAGTGAACCTAATTGGGTCATGAAAGCGGGACCTGGCAATGACTGGTTATCAGTAGATACCAATACCAACAGCATTTTCTTGGGTAATTACTATGACACAAACTGTGTGCTAACCCATTTTTTACATATAACAAGGTGGGTATATTATTTTCTCTCTTTTACAATGGAAGAAATAGACCTAAAAGGATGATTGTAACTTGCCCAAATGTGTGCCATAAATGGCCAAAAAGGCCAAGTGCCCCTGGCCGTCTGACCCCAGCCCACACCTAACCCCCTCTACACATCATCCCCTGTGGCAACGGCTTCCCAATCTTTTTGACTGAGACTCACATGTAGGTCATTAGATATAAAACTAACACAGCTGTGTCACAAATAGTCCCGATCCTCACTATTTAGTTGAGCATCAATATTTTCTATTTTATTTTACTTTAAAAGAATGCTGGTCAGAGACCCACTAAGTTGATTTCGCAACCTCCTAGTAGGTCACAATTCTCCAGTTTGAAAAACACTACACCACTGCCTCATAGTGTAAACAAACGAAGATTTAAGGAGCCACAGCCTACGCTGTGGATTAGCTCTTCCAATCCCAGTGCCCTCCTCCCTCCCTTGCCTGCCTTCACTAAAGCATCCAGAAAAGCCAAATGCTCTTTTCTCTGCCTCCCAGGCCATGGGACATAGCTCTGGTCACTGAGATGAAAGCTGACAGAAGGACTTCAGAAAAAGCTTTGGCTTTCTGGATAAAAAGCCCCTTTCCCCTGGCTTCCTGCCTTGAATAAAGATGTGACGCCAGGAACTCAGGCAGCCTTCTTGTAATCATGAGATAAAAGCCAAGAGAACCAGGGAAAGGCTGGCACCAAGCTCACAGAGCTGCTAAATCAGCATCAGCAGCCACCCTTCTTGTTATGTAAGAGAAGTGAACCCCTATTTGTTTCACCACACGTAGGTTTTCTATTATTTGCAGCTGAAAACATTCCTAACTAATAACATAATAACCAAAAACCCCCAAACCTCAAACAGGTAGGTCCTCCTGTGTTAAACCCTGTGCTTCATTGTCTGGTGAGCAATAAAGACACTTGCACTTGGAAATACTAAAATAGATTTTAAAAAACCAACCTATTAAATAGTTCATCTATTTAAGGTCGTAGTTCGTTTTTTCCCAATTAGAGGCACTGCCTGCCCTGTGGCATATATTCAATGGCCACGGTATCCTGACCGTGGCTAATTTTTGTATTTTTAGTAGAGATGGGGTTTCACCATGTTGGCCAGGCTGATCTCGAACTCCTGACCTCAAGTGATCTGCCTGCCTCCGCTTCCCAAAGTGCTGGGATTACAGGTGTGAGCCACCACGCCTGGCCTATTTGTTTCTGTCATGGAGCAAACCCAGATTCTTTGGAAGAGAGTTTTGTGGGATGTGGAAATGGAAAACAATTGCATGGGAATGCCACATTCGGTGTGGGGCCTTTATGAAGAAACATGTGAAAGGTTTCCAGAAGAGAAGGCAACATGATTCACGTTGGAAACTGCAGGGCTGTGGTTGTTTAGATTAGAGAGAGAAGGGGCCGGGTGTCTGGCTGCTGTAACAAGTCTCTATGTTAATTTCCAAGTGCATCCCTATCTTCATTTATGTTTGATGGTTACCTGTCAGGTGAGCAGAATAAGTCTTGTTGTTCCTGGTTAATGAAAAAGGAATCGAGACCCTGAGAGGTAGAGGGGTTTGCCTGTGTTTACATCGTAGGTCTCCATGGAGCAGTCCAGACCTCTTCCCAGAACTCATGCTGGCCTTGCTACCCAGAATTCCTGCCTTTAGGGAATGACCCTTCCCCTGGCCCTGCCTTGGTTCTGGTGTGTGTGCCTCACCCTCAATGCCCTGCCACATGTGGGCTGGGCCAGTCAGATGCACTCCTGGGAATTTGAATCTTACACAGAGACACAGAGGAACCCAAGGTGGATAGAGGCTTGAGCCGAGTCCGTTTCTGTTACCTGCACACCAAAAACCCTAACTGACAGAAATTTCTACTAGACAGAAGGTTGAAGGCCACAGGCCAGCAGAAAAATGTAGGATATTTGGAATTAGTTATTGGGATCTAGATGAGTAGAGAGTAGTTAAACTCCCATTTACATTCTGGTGTGGATGGCATTATGGGTTGACACCATAACTTATACATTGAACTCCTAACCCCCAGCACCTCAGAATGGGACTGTCTTGCAATGCACTTAGTTAAGTTAGGATGAGGTGTGTCTTAGTCTTTCAAACTATCGTAACAAAATACCAGAGACTGGATGGCTTAAACACAGAAATGTATTTCCTCATAGCTCTGAAAATTGGGAATTCCAAGCTCAGGGTGCTGGCCAACTTGGTTCCTGGTGACGGGCCCCCTTCCTAACTTGCAGTTGGCTACTTTTTCGCTGTGTCCTCACACGGCAGAAGGAGCACAAGATCTCTCTCTTCTTCTTATGAGATTAGGTCTCCACCCTTATGATCTCATTTAAGTTTAATTAGCTGATAAAGCCCTATGTTCAAATACAGTCACATTGGAGTTTGAGCTCGGATACATCAATTTTGGGGGTGCACAGTTCAGTCCACATCAAGATCCTACTAGAGTAGGGTGGGCCCCTGATCCATCATGACTGGTGTCCTCATAAAAAGGGGAAATTTAATTAGATGGGCGTGGTGGGAGGCACCTGTAATCCCAGCTACTCGGGAGGCTGAGGCAGCAGAATTGCTTGAACCCAGGAAGCGGAGGTTGTAGTGAGCCAAGATCACCATTGCACCGACAACAGAGCAAGACTCTGTCTCAAAAAAAAAAAGGGGGGGCGGGATTTAGAGACAGACACACACACAGGGAGACCACCATGTGAAGATAAAGGCAGAGACCCAGGTGATGCTTCTGTGAGCCAAGGAACCCCAAAGACGGCCAGCAAACCGCCAGAAGCTGGGAGGGAGGCCTGGAACAGATTCCTTGAAGCCTCGGAGGGACCCAACCCTACTGACACCTTCATTTATTTCCGACGTCCAGCATCCAGAACTGTAAGACAGCACATTTCTGTTGTTTGAGCCATTCAATTTGTGGTACTTTGTTATGACAGAAATGAAAGGGGAGAGCTGCCTGTGGTACAGACGGGCCACATGCCTAGTCAGGCCACCCTCCGTGGCCAGCTGGAACCAGGTGTGCACTTGTAATGCCCAACCTTGTTTTTACTAACCCTGTTTTTAGACTCTCCCTCTTCCCTTTAATCACCTAGCCTTGGTTCCACCTGAATTGACTCTCCCTTAGCTAAGAGAGCCAGACAGACTCCATCTTGGCTCTTTCACTGGCAGCCCCTTCCTCAAGGACTTAACTCGTGCAAGCTGACTCCCAGCACATCCAAGAATGCAATTAACTGATAAGATACTGTGGCAAGCTATATCCGCAGTTCCCAGGAATTCGTCTGATTGATAACGCCCAAAAAGCCCCGCTTCTAACACCTTATAATAGTCTTAAAGCCTCTACACCTGGAACTGTTTACTTTCCTGTAACCATTTATCCTTTTAAGTTTTTTGCCTACTTTATTTCTGTAAAATTGTTTTAATTAGACCCCCTCCCCTTTCTAAACCAAAGCATAAAAGAAAATCTAGTCCCTTCTTCAGGGCCAAGAGAACTTTGAGCATTAGCTGTCTCTTGACCACCGGCTAAATAAACGGACTCTTAATTCATCTCAAAGTGTGGCATTTTCTCTAACTCGCTCAGGTACAACACACTGAGGCAGGGTTTTGAGGGTCGTACAGTTGCTGTTGCAACATAATTTTAAAAGAATGCAGAACGCAGCTGACATGTAGTTGCCTCTGACAGCACTGGATATTTGGATGCACATCAAGATTAAATCCGACAAAGCTCCTCTCAAGGTGGAGAGCAGAACTCAAGGCCTTCCTGTGACCAGTCTAAAATCTCATTAGGGACAGAGTTTGGAGACGAATCCTGTAGGTTGCTAAATGAAAACGTTAGTTGTCTGCATGAACTTCCCAGAGATTTGATGTGAAATTTAAAGCACTAACACAAAAAGAATGAGACACCAACCATTGGAACGGGGATATTTGGGAGTATTTGGAAAACTAGAACCTCCAGATCCCCCAAGTCCTTTAAAACACCCCCCACTATGTTCCTCTTACCTGAGAAAGATGCTCCTCTTTTGAAGGAGAGAATTAAGAGTTCCCTTCACAGCCCACTATGTAGCGTTGCTTGCCCCATAACAGGAGTTCAGCGTGTGTGGCTTAGACTAGAGGGAGAAGTACAGAGAGACCTAGAGAAACTGCCGGAGGTCACTCATCCACATTGCCAGAAGTCTGGAGAATGTTTGTGGGAATGGATTTTTGAGGGTTCTTGGCCAAAGAGGGAAGAACTGGATTCTGGCTTGCACCAAGGGTATTGATAAGACAATTCTGCATTCTGTGTACTGGCTTAGGGGGTGCTGTCCATGTCCTAACAACCTGCTGATGCAAAGTTGATGGTGTTGAAGTGGCGCAGAAAGGCTAGGAACCCTTGGCATAAGAGAGGGACTGGTTCTGAGCTGTGGGAGACAAGATGCTGAAATAGATCCTTTTGTGTGTTTCCACCCCACCCACCCCTTGGGATGGACCTCAGGATGGAATCAGGCGACTCCTCCACCCTCAGCCTTGCCACAAAGAGTAAACTGCCATGGATTGTTAATGGGAGGGACAGTGATAGAAGGGGGATCCCCAATCTCTGAGGGGTGAGAGGAGCACTGGGAGCTGGAGGTCTTCACTCCGGAAGTGCACTGGGTAGGGCTAAGTGGAGCCTGGATCTCAGGGAGTCGTCTCACCTTCCAAAATCTCAGGTCATGGATGATTGACAGGTATCCCCCAAATTAAGTCGGTAATCAATCCACTCATGTCCCCCTTTTTTTGTAGACTCAGGAAGGTTGCAAGAGGCCCAAGTAGAACCAGCATGCTAGAGAACCATGGCCTGTTATGAAATTCCCAGACCCGGGTCAGCCCACAGACCTGGCACCCTTTGAATGTGAAGGCCAGGCATCCTTGAAGAGGGCAGCTGCTATAATATCACATGTGTATTCTGACTTTTTTTTTTTGGGGGGGGACAGAGTCTCACTCTGTTGCCCAGGTTGGAATGCAGTGGTGCAATCTTGGCTCACTGCAACCTCTGCCTCTTGGGTTCAAGCGATTCTCCTGCCTCAGCCTCCTGAGTAGCTGGGATTACAGGTACATGCCACTGTGCTGGCTAATTTTTGAATTTTTAGTAGAGATGGGGTTTCACCATGTTGGCCAGGCTGGTCTTGAACTTCTGACCTCCTGTGATCTACCTGCCTCAGCCTCCCAAATGCTGGGATTACAGGCGTGGGCCACCATGCCCAGCCTTTCTGTGACTTAACTTTAAAAACTCTGACCTTTGAGCCAGGTGGGTGCTCATGTCTATAGTCCCAGCTACTCGAGAAGCTGTGGTGGGAGGACTGGTTGAGCCCAAGAGTCCGAGGCTGCAATGAGCTATGATCATACCAGTGCACTCCAACCAGGGTGAAAGAGTGAGACTCCATCTCTTAAAAAAGAAAAGGTAAGGTATTTAAGCCTTCTCTCCTTGGAATTAAACTTGGTGCAAAAGCACACTGGGAAAAAGCAGGCTGGAGCCAAGTCCACTTGCAGCAACATCGTGGAGATGATTCCACAAGGCCCAGCTGCCGAGCTCCCTGGCATCTCCCTAGTGCTTATCCTTCAAATCTGGATATTTATCTCTATCTTCTCTTGCTCTCTTTTCAATAAATCCATTTTTCTTGCTTAAACTCACTAAACTCATTTATTTCACCGCAACCAGAGAATCTGGATGGTTCCCACTTTCTCCCTTTTTCTGCTCCCAGCAACATAAAGGCGGGTGTGGAGTGGATGGCCCCACCAGCCCTGGCTCCCACTAGGAAGGACACTGAACTCACACAAAATACCCTTTGTAGGATTAGCAACCCCAGCACTCCTTAAGCTGGGCTTCAGAATCCACACAAAGAATAAGCAAAGGCATAATTTTGTGGGCAGTTAGAAATCCTATGGAGTGAGTGGAAACAGACATTCCTGCATGGGGCTCCCTCCTCGTCCCTCCCAGTCACACACACACTCTAACCACGGTGCCTTACTGTGGCAGATAAGAACAAAAGCCCCTTTCAAGACATGTGGTGCCTATGTGCAGAAGGTCTGAGATCTCCATCTGGGCTGGGAGAACTGTGCCAGGTGCCAAGAGCCTTGCCGTGGCTTGCTTGTCTCGGTCCTCAGAAATGCACTGAGAATGGAGGAAGCGGTCAAGGAAGGGTCTTCCAAGTCCTTTGGATTTTCTCCTTAACATCTGGTATCTCCCAGGTCTGAGGCTGGAAGGATTTGTGATATTTTTCCCATTCTGTGGGTTGATTTTTCACTTTCTTGATAGCATACTTTGAAGCACAAGAGCTTTTCATTTTGATGAAGTCTGATTTTTTTTCCTTGTTTGCTTATTCTCTAGGTGTATCTAAGAAGTCATTGCCTAATCCAAGATTAAGAAAACTTACACCTGTGTTTTCTTCTAAAAGCATTAGAGCTTTAGCTCGTACATTTAGGTCTTTGATTCATTTTTAGTTAATTTTTCTATATGGTATGAGGTAGAGGCCCAAATGTATCCTGCATATGGCTATCCAGTGGTCCCAGCAGCATTTTTTGTAAAGATTACTCTTTCCCCTGCTGAATGGTCCATACATGTCTGGGCTCTCAATTCTATTCTATTAATCTATATGCCTATCCTCATGCCATACATTGATTGACTTTTGGATGTTAAACCAACCTTGAATTCCTGGGATAAACCTTGGTTACCATGTTTTATTGTTTTTATACATTCTTGAACTCAATTGCTAAAATTTTTAAAAGAATTTTTGCATCTATGCTCATGATAAATATTGGTGTGTAATTTTCTTATTTCTATTTTTATTTATTTTATTTTATTTTATTTTATTTTATTTTATTTTATTTTATTTTATTTTATTTTATTTTTTGAGATGGAGTCTTGCTCTGTCGCCCAGGCTGGAGTGCAGTGGCACGATCTCAGCTCACTGCAAGCTCTGCCTCCCGGGTTCAGGCCATTCTCCTGCCTCAGCCTCTGGAGTAGCTGGGACTACAGGCATCTGCCACCACGCCCGACTAATTTTTTGTATTTTTAGTAGAGACGGGGTTTCACCGTGTTAGCCAGGATGGTCTCGATTTCCTGACCTCGTGATCCACCCGCCTCAGCCTCCCAAAGTGCTAGGATTACAGGCGTGAGCCACCACACCCGGACTTTATTTATTTTTTGAGACAGGGTTTTGCTCTGTCACCCAAGCTGGAATGCAGTGGTGCGATCACAACTCACTGCAGCCTCAACCTCCCAGGCTCAAGTGATCCTCCCACCTCAGTCTCCCAAGCAGCTGAAACTACAGGAACATGCCACCATGCCAGCTGATTTTTTAAAATGTTAATACAGATGAGGTCTTGCTGTGTTGCTCAGGCTGGTCTCAAATTCCTGGACTCAAGTGATCTTCCTGCCCTGGCCTCCCAAAGTGGTGGGATTACAGGCATGAGTCACGGTGTCCAGCCTATAATTTTCTTTACAAATAATGTCTCTGATTTTGGTATCAGGGTAATACCAGCCTCATGGAATAAATTGAGAAGTGTTCCCACCTCTTCAGTTTTCTGGGAAATTTTGTGGAGAATTGGTATTATTTCTTCCTTAAATGTTTTATGCAATTCCCCAGTAAAACCACCTAGGCCTTGAATTTTCTTTGTGGAACGTTTTATCCAGATATTCGATTTTAAAAATAAATAAAAATAGATATAGAGCTATTTTGATTACATACTCTTCTTGATGCAACTTTGGTAGTTTGTGCGTTTTATGTTTTTGTGATGGGGTACAATGAGTTTCTTGAATCTATGGACTTATTCATCAAATTTGGAAACTTTTCAGCCATTATTTCTTCAAATATTTTTTCTGTTACCTCCTTTTTCTCCTCTTCTACAAGGACTCCAATTACATATATTTAGGGTACCTGTCCCACAGATCACTGATTTTTTTTTTCATTTTTAAGTTCCTTTTTCTTTCTGTTTTTCATTTTGGATAGTTTCTCCTGCTGTGTCTTTAAGTTTACTAATATTTTCTTCTGTATCATCTAATCTGCTGTTAATCCCACCCAGTGTTGTTTAATTCCAGATATTGCTTTCATCTCTAGATGTTCAATTTTGAACTGTTTGATATCTTCCATGTTCCTACATAAGTTTTTGAACATATGGAATACAGTACAATCACTGAATAACTGTCCTTTTTTTTTTTTTTTTTTTTTGAGATGGTGTCTCACTCTCTCGCCAGGCTGGAGTGCAGTAGTGCGATCTTAGCTCACTGCAACCTCTGCCTCCCAGGTTCAAGAGATTCTCCTGCTTCAGCCTCCTGAGTACGGGGACTACAGGCGCGTGCCACCATGCCTGGCTAATTTTTGTATTATTAGGAGAGACAGGGTTTCACCATATTGGCCGAGCTGGTCTCGAACTCCTGACCTCATGATCTGCCCACTCCGGCCTCCCAAAGTGCTGGGATTACAGGTGTGAGCCACTGTGCCTGGCCAATAACTGTCCTTTAAAAAATTATTTTCAACTTTTATTTTGGGTTCAAGGGTACATGTGCAGGTTTGTTACATGGGTAAACTCGTGTCATAGGGACTTGTTGTACAAATTACTTCATCACCCAAGTACTAAGCCAGGTACCCAACAGTTATTTTTTCTGATCCTCTCCCTCCTCCCACCTGCTACCCCCAAGTAGGCCCCAGTATCTGTTATTCCCCTCTTTGTGTCCATATGTTCTTTTCTTTTCTTTTCTTTTTTTTTGAGATGGAATCCCACTCTGTTCAAGGCTGGAGTGCAGTGGCATGATCTCAGCTCACTGCAGTCTCTGCCTCCCTGGTTCAAGTGGTTCTCCTGCCTAAGCCTCCCGAGTAGCTGGGATTACAGCTGCATGCCACCACACCCGGCTAATTTTTGTATTTTTAGTAGAGACAGGGTATCACCATGTTGGCCAGGCTGGTCTTGAACTCCTGACCTCATGATCCGCCTGCCTTGGCCTCCCAAAGTGCTGGGATTACAGGCATGAGCCACTGCACCCGGCCCCATGTGTTCTTATCCACAGCAACTGTCTTCACGCCTCTGTCTGCACTATTCTCCACTCTGTGCAGATGCTGAGTTGCCTCTGACCCTATCCTACTTGGAGTCGTTTCCTCCCATGCACGTGCTGACGGACACTCAGCTGATGTGGAGGGGGAACCTGTGTAGCGCTCCAGGGCTCTCCCTTCTCTAGTCCTCTGTCCTGCTCACTCCAGTCCCTTAGTTCTCCCTAGACACTCAGCTGTTTCCTCAACCAAGGAAGTCCACTGGGCTCCGTCTGGGATCCCCGTTCCTGCTCTGTGGTCTGGACATTCTCTCAAGGCAGTAAACCGGGCCAGTCATCGGCTCGCCTCATTTTTTCCCGTCTCTTGGGGATTGCTGTCCTTCACCACCTGGTGTACAGTGTCTTGAAAACAATTGCTTCATATATTTTGTGTTTGTTTAGGGTTGTTTCAGAGAGGAGGCAGGAGGGTAAATGGGTCCTTGTTACTCCCTCTTGGCCAGAAGCAGAAGTCAAAGTGAGTGAATTTTGAAAGCTGTTTTAAAACTGCATTCCCTCTATCTCATTAGCCTCTGACATTTCTCTGAAGTTGCCAGGAAGAGGCTGTATGGGGGATAAAGTGAAAATTTGGGGGGATGGGATGTTTACCAGCTGGCTTTCTCCAGAACCGCCCTGTCCTTATAACATAGCCCTGGTGAGAGACCCAGGAAGGGCCCAGACGTTCCAGTCCCAGGTGTTGGGGGACCACAGAAACCTATGCGCATCCCAATTCCGGACCTCCCTCTGTGCCTAGGGCCAGGCTCCAAGCAGCAACTCTCTAACTCAGCTGGGCCTGACTCTGGACTCCAGGGCTAGAGGCAGTGACCAACAGAGACCAGGACAAAGACTTCCTAGCAGGAGCAGACGATCTGGTCTCTTGACGCTGCCTCCTTTGAAATGCGGAACCTGACTGGAATAGACATTGACCCCTTGGAGCCAGATGGAGAGAACGCTGTTCTGAATGTGAGGGAGTGGGAGGTGTGGGGGAGATCTGAGCCCTTGAGCGCATGGCCTGGCTCAGGGACACCAGGGCTCTCTGGACATCTAGCGCTGCTCCCATCCTTCTCTGGACTCCAGCAACACTGACAATCTAGACACATGTACATACTGGGTTCTAAGGGTATATGGCCATATGTTATTCTCCAAACATTAAATACTTTTAATTCTCTGATATTGTTCTGCAAACATTAATCACAGTAGTAATAATAGAGGTGCTTCATAGAGCTTTTTCTTTTTAATGGCACAAAATAAGTTTTATGTGTGTACGTGGTAAAACACACATAACATAAAATTTACCATCATAACCATTTTAAATTGTGCAATCCAGTGGCATTAAGCATATTTACAATGTTATGCAACCATCACCACTGTCTGGTTATAGAACATTTCATCACCCCAAACCGAAACCTGGTGCCCAGGAAGGAGTGACTCCCTATTCCCCTCCTCCAAGCTCTGGGCAGCCACTGATCTGCTCCCCTCTGTAGGGATTGGTCCATTCTGGAGATTTCACATCAGTGGAGTCATACATTGGTCTTTTGTGTCTGGCTTCTTTCACTTAGCATGTTTTCTAGGCTCAACCATGTTGTAGAATGCATCAGTGCTTCCTTTTGGAGCTAATACTCTTCCATTGTATGAACATAGCACGTTTTGTTGATCTGTTTATCTGTTCATGGAAACTTGGGTTGTTTCCACCTTTTGGCTATTGTGGATGGAGCTGCTATGAACATTAAGTCCAAATTTCTGTTTGAACACCTGTTTTCAATTCTCTGAGGTATGTACCTAGGAGTAGAATTACTAGATCATATGGTAATTCTGTGTTTAACCTTACTGAGGAACCTCCACACTCTTTTCCAAAGTGGCAGTACCATCTTACATTCCCACCAACATTGCATGAGTGTTACAATTTCTCCACATCCTCACCAGCCCTTGTGATTTTCCATTTTAAAAATGATGGCCCAGACTAGTGGATATGAAGTGATATCTCACTGTATGTATGGTTTTTTAAAAACAGCTTTGGCTGGGCCGGTGGCTCACGCCTGTAATCCCAGCACTTTGGGAGGCTGAGGCGGGCGGATCATGAGGTCAGGAGTTTGAGACCAGCCTGACCAACATGGTGAAACTCCATCTCTACTAAAAATACAAAAATTAACTGGCCATGGTGGCGTGTGCCTGTAATTCCAGCTACTCAGGAGGCTGAGGCAGGAGAATCGCTTGAACTCAGGAGGTGGAGGTTGCAGTGAGCCGAGATCGCGCCACTGCACTCCAGCCTGGACAACAGAGTGAGACTCCATCTAAATAAAAAACAAAAACAAAAACAAAAAAACCCCCAGCTTTATGGAGAAATAGTTCACATACTGTATAGCTGATCCATGTAAAGTGTACAATTCAATGGTTTTTTAATATATTCACAGATATATTAAAATAAGCAACCAGTACCACAGTCCATTTTAGAACATTTTCATCACCCCAAAAAGGAACCGTGTATACTATACCCATCACTTCTCCACTCCCCAGACCTCTTCCCCAAGCCCTAGGCAACCACTAACCAACTATCTCTGTAGACTCCCTTGTTCTGGACCGTGCAGATGAATGGAATCAGGTAATATGTGGTCTTTGGTGACTGACTTCTCTCACTTAATCTGTTTTCAAGGTCCCTGCACGTGGTACCGTTTATCAGCACCTCACTCTTTGTCATGGCGGAACAGTATTCCATTATATGCATATGCCACATTTAGTTAATCTACTCATGGGCTGATGAACCGTGGGGCTGTTTCTTCCCTTGTCTATTAGGAATAATGCTCATTTCTCTTGGGTATATATGGAATTGCTGGGTCACATTATAACTCTATGTTTAATCATTCGAGGGACTGCCAGACGGTCACATAGCAGCTGCACCATCTTACATTCTCACCAGCAGTGTGTGAGGGTTGATTTTTCCACATCCTCACCCACACTTATTTTATTTTTCCCATCCTATGATTACCCATCGTAGTGGGTGTTAAGTGGCATCTCACTGTACTTTTGATTTGCATTTCCTTTATGACTAATGACAGTGAGCATCTTTTCTTTTCTTTCTTTTTTGAGACGGAGTTTCACTCTTGTTGCCTAGGCTGGAGTGCAATGGCACGATCTTAGCTCACTGCAACCTCTGCCTCACAGGTTCAAGCAATTCTCCAGCCTCAGCCTCCTGAGTAGCTGGATTACAGGCGCCTGCCACCACACCTGGCTAATTTTTTCTATTTTTAGTAGAAACGGGGTTTCACCATGTTGGCCAGGCTGGTCTCAAACTCCTGACCTCAGGTGATCCGCCCACCTCCGCCTCCCACAGTGCTGGGATTACAGGCGTGAGCCACCGCGCCCGGCCAACAGTGAGCATCTCTTCACATGCTCATTCGTCACGAGCACATCTTTGGGGAAACGTCAAGTCCTTTTTCCATTTTAAAACTGGGTGGCGGTCTTTCATTGTTGAATTGTAGGAGTTTTTTAATATGTTCTGGATTGTAGACCTTTGTCAGATACGTGATTTTCTCCCATCATATGGGTTGTCTTTTCATTCTCTTGACAGTGTCTTTTGATGCACACGTTTTGAATTTTAATGAAGTCCAATTTATTTTCCATAGAGCCTCTTGTATGGTTTTAAAACTTATAGTGCTTATAAGATAGTACAAATATAGATACAAAGAATAATCTAATGAAACCACATGTACCCACTACTAAGATTTCACATAATCATTTGACTTCAGACTTTCAGTGACTGAGTTTTTAGGTGTGGGCAGGTATTTCTGCAACTGGGTTTTGCAGGTTCTCTGCGAGGTTCATCTTTGGCTCCCTAATATTTAAGTCGACACTCCTTCTGCTCCCAGAAGAGACTCCCTCCTCCTCTTGTTCTTCGGGCCTCTCACTCTGTCTGTTGCCTGCTGTCTCCGGTATCACCAACTTCTCTCTCCAAGTTCTTTCTTAGCAATATTTAAAGCTGATCTCTGTCTTTAAAAAGTTGAGTTCTTCCACACTGTGCCCTCCTCTGGCTGCCTTCCTGCAACCAGCATCTATGTCATTAGTGGTACAGATGCTCCTTGAGTGATTAACGATGTCATGTTCTGATAAACCCATTGCAAGTTGAGAATATTCTAAGTCAAAAATGCATTTAATATGCCTAACTTGTGGAACATCATTGCTTAGCCCAGCTTTCCCTTAAATGTGCTCAGAGCACTGGCATCAGCCTTACATTTGGGCAGAATCATCTTACACAAAGCCTATTTTAAAGTAAAGTGTTGAATATCTCATGTAATTTATTGAATACTGCACCAAAAGTGAAAAACTGATTGTATTGGCACTTGAAGTACAATTTCTACTGAATGTCATCACTTTCATACCATCATAAAGTTGAACAATGCTAAGTTGGGACTATCTGTACAATTACCCTCAAATATATCTTCGATCATACACTCTCACCCCCGGGGTGAAAAACCTTCAGGGCTTCCCGTTTTCTCTCGACTGCCTTGGGCCTGGGGTAGCAAGGTCTTCTCCCGGGAGCACCGTGCTTGTGAGAGTCTGCAGGTGGCTGCAGGACTGGGAAGGCTTCCGTCCTGTTGAAAAATACTAGCACTTAGCACAGTACCTGACACACAGTAAGTACCCAAACTATGAAGATGATGACCACAGGCACCCTCACCACCAGCATTGCAGGTTGTGCCAGAAGGGAAAAAGCAATTCTGACAAAGCTCTGGCTATGACGTTCCCTGTGGGCGCCCCTCAAGGTGCCTCCCTCTGTCACCACCTACACACACACACACACACACAACTCAGGAATATCCAGCTTTCACCATGCTTCTCAGAGAGGCCCCAGAGGGTCACTCTTTCCAGCAGGGTAAATTGTGGCAGTCCCTGTGGCACGGGGAATGAGCACTCCCTGGCACAAAATGCACCCGCCCCCCAACCCTTCACTTGTTAAACACTGCCCATTTCTTGCTTCTTAAAGCTTAACCATTTCCTCCTACACCCTACCAGGTTCCCTTCCCAAGGTGCCTTCCATTTATAAAGTGATTAGGTCCAGGAGGGCCTGGGCACCACGGGACTCCAGGCCCTCTTGGAGGCTCCAGAAGAGTTAAAGGTGTGAAAGGGGAAGGGAGCCCAGGTTCTGCTGGGGACCCAGCCTGACTCCTGGGTCTCTATAGCTTTGCTATCTTAAGGTGGAGGTTGGGGGAGACCCCAGTTTCAGGGGAATTAGGGGAGACCTCAGTTCCAGGGGAATTCGGTGCTGTTTTCCAATCTACCCAGCTTCTTGTACTCCTGTTAGATCTGGGGGCAATTTCCCAGAGGAGAGTCTGTAATCTACGACCTGCAAGAGAAAAGGGAAGACAGGCTGGCTGAGGACATCTGCACCCACAGCTCTACAGTCCAGACTCAACCCCCAGAGATGGCTGGCTCATCCCCACCAGGGGGCCACTTTGTGCCAAACCGGAGAAGGAGGGGTGGGGGAGGTGGAGAAGCCAAGAACAAAAAATCTATCAACCTGGAAAGAGGAAGTAGGTAAGGTCAGCGGTGTGTGGACTGCAGGCTCCCAAGATGATGGCGCTGGCGCTTCTGAACGCTCTGCCTGCTGGGAGCTGAGCATGGGGCTGATGGCTTGTGTTGGCTGCAGAGGAGAGGAACCAGAGTGCATGGGTGCCACCTTGCTCAGGAATCCTGGGTGACCTCCTTGAAAGTTAAGCTTTTCTCCTGGTGGTTCTTTCCTCTGGCCCACGACCAGGCAAGCTCGCCCAACCTACGATCTGTCCCCAGCTCCCAAACTGCTTTCAAACCCCTCCCCTCTTAGTTTCCAAAAGAGTCGATGCCTGGTTCTCCTTGGCCCCTCTGCCCAGAAAGTTTGGGTTTCCTCTGGCACTTCTCCGGATAAACCCTCCCAGCCTCCATGGTCCTCACATTCACCTTCCCCAAGGGCTGCAGCCGCAGGGCCTGCCCAAGATCCCCACTATACCGAGTCTGTCCTCACCTGGAGGCCACACCGCAGTTTCACACCTGGATGTGCAATGGGCCCCCTGAGGTTCACCGGTTCCTAAGAGGAACTGGTGATCAGCCTGTAGGGGACAAAACAGTCTACCCAGCCTCTCAGCACAAGACAGGCTCCCCGGCCTCTCCCGCCTCGCAGGCATCCAAATGCTGAAGCCTCCACCTCCTGAAAACGTCTCTCCTTTCGGCCTCCCTCTCTCCGGCTGGATGACCCCAAATCTCGTCCTAACGCTCCTCCACTGCCCCTCTCTCCACCACCTGCTAAGGAAGGGCCACGCTCCTTAAGCTGAGGCGCCAGCTGCTTTACAAGTTTTGAGGGAAAAGAACGGATTTCTCTGGTTAGGCCACTCTGGGTATAAACGACCCAACGGCCTGGGACACCCCACGATGGGGTTTTCTTTTGGAGTCTGGATAGAGCAGAGCGTGCAGTACTGGTCGTCCCATTGCGGGCTAGCTCGCCAAAGACGCCCCTTCCTTGCCCTTCTCCCTAGGCTCCTGAGAGAGCCCTGGAGCGTTCTGGAAATCCTGCTACCTTTAGGACCTGGGGGATCCGAGTAGGGGGGTCACCTTCCCCGTCCCCAGCGAAGTCGGCGCCGGAACTGCCCTAATGGAAACCAGCCGCCGGGCGCTCCGGGAGGGCTCAGGCCGACCCCGGGGTCCATTAGAGGCGCCCCAGGCCGAGGGAGCCCGCGGCGGCTGGAAGGTGAACTTGACATCCCGGCTCCACCGACCCCGCAGCGGCTCGCACCTCATCCCCACTCCGGCCAGACCAAAGTAGAATCCTGGGTGTGCGCGTGATTTCCCAGGGAGGGCGGACTCGGGGCTTTCCCTGTCGCACCCTCCATTGGGGGACCGCCCCCAAGTCCCCGAGAGCCCCTCGGGCAGAGTCCTTAGGGCTCAGAGCATGGGAGGACCTGGCTTGCCTGGTGGAGGCGAGTAGCCGAGGGGTCGGTGGAGCTGCGCCCCAAATGAGTTCCCGGCGCGCGATTCTCCCCGACCCCGACCCTTTGTCCGCCTCCCCCTCCCTCGTCCCGGCCCTTGGCTCAGGGGACCCAGGCGGCGGCGGCGGAGGTGGCAGAGGCCAGAGCCCAGAGGCGCAGCCCGGGCAGCTAGGAGGGTCGCACGTGGAGCCGTCCCCCGGACCCGCACAGCGACGAAGGGGGGAGGCTGCAGGCGCGCGGGGTGGGGGCTGGGGCGCAGCCCGAGAAGTGGGAGGGGATCGGGTGAGGGGTGGTCTCTGAGGAGGAGCCAGGCTGGACCGTATTGTTCCGCGCTCGGCCGGGGAGGGCGCGGGGCGCTCGGCTTCCCGTGTTCCTCTCCCCGCCCCAGCCCCGTGGGCGCGAGAGGAGGCGGGGGGCTCCTTGTGCACCAGAGACGCAGCTGCCTTGTTCGCCCGGTGGGGTGTGGATCCTCCGAGCGGTGCTGGGAAGGGGGTTCTCTCTGCCCGCGCGCCCAGGACTCTACCCAGGGCGGAGGTCCCGAGTGGGCCGCCCCCCGCAGCGCCCTGGGTTCGCGGGCCCAGAGGCTGGAGGCAGCGGGGAGCTAGGGTCCTTCACCCTCCCCTCGCCGCGTGCCTCCGCAGGAGTCGGGCTCCCCGTTCCCCGCGATGGCCGCGGGCCGCAGTCGTACGGAGCCGCCGCGCGGACCCCGGGGCGCCCCTCCCTAGCGGGGCGCAGCTCCTTCTTGTTCCCCGCCCTGCCAGCGGGATGGGGGGCGGCGGGTCGGCCCTGAGGGTCTGCGCCGACCACCGCGGGGGCATCAACTGGCTGAGCCTGAGCCCCGACGGGCAGCGCCTGCTGACGGGCAGCGAGGACGGCACGGCCCGGCTCTGGAGCACCGCGGACGGCCAGTGCTGCGCGCTCCTGCAAGGTAGACCCTCCCACTCCCTCCCTGACCTCTTCGCCGCAGCTCACCGGCCCCAGACCGCGGACCCCAGCTCCTGCGCCCGCAGACCCCTTTCTAGAAGTCCAGCCCCCGCTCATCCCGGCACACTAGCGGAAGAGCGCTTGTCTGGGCCCAGCATCTGGCTGTTGAGCGCACGGCAGGGCAGGGTGAGGTCTGGGGGTGGGGTGCGGGTGCAGAGCAGGGTGCGGCCGGGATCGGGTGGGTGGGTCGAGGGGCGTCCGCTACAAAGGCGAAGATCATTTGTCAACCAGCGGCAGGAAATCTCCCTTGACAACAATGTTAACAAACAAAAAGTTGCACCTATACTCCTTCTAAGCAAACCTTCCCTTGTCTCTAGGTGCCTTGTGGCCTCTTTGTGGCCAATTGTGCTCTTCTGCTGGCATTTCCTGTTGACGACTCTCACAGCAACAGTAGACGCTTGTTAAGGGCCAGCGGTGCGGAGAAGTGTGCCGTCGTCACACTATGTTACCCCACATACAGACGTGGAAACAGGCTGGGAGTTAAGTAATTCGCCCAGGTCGCACAGCCAGTGAGGGGTAGATGGCAGTCTGAGCCCTCTCATTGCTGTAAACCCTGCCTGCATGCCTGTTGGTTTCTATTTGTGCCCTGTACTCACTCAGGAGGTCAGTGTGCCTCGGGTGCACCTTCCCCTGGGCCTGTCCCATGCACTGTGAGGTCCCTTTCAGCTCTGGCCCTCCTACTGCCCAGGTAGCACACGTAGTCCCCTGGATGAGCCGCGAGGCTTTCTGCTGTGGGTAGTTCTTTATCACCGCGGGCTTTTCCACCATCATCAGTGAACTCTCTGTGGCCTCGCCCAGGCCTTCCAACTTAGGTAGGATATTAGCCCCAATATTGGCTAATCCTGATACTGCTGGTTTTAAATAAGAACAGTTGACCAGGCTCGGTGGCTCACACTTGTAATCCCAACACTTTGGGAGGCCAAGGTGGGTGGATCACCAGAGGTCAGGAGTTTGAGACCAGCCTGGCCAACATGATGAAACCCTGTGTCTAATAAAAATACAAAAAATTAGCTGGGCGTGGTGGCGGGCGCCTGTAATTCCAACTACTCGGGAGGCTGAGGCAGGAGAATCACTTGAACCCAGGAGGCAGAGGTTGCAGTGAGCCAAGATCGTGCCACTGCACTCCAGCCTGGGTGACAGAGCCAGACTCTGTCTAAAAAAAAAAAAAAAAGAAAAGAAAAGAAAAAAATATTACATAGTTAGGGCAGATATTTCAAACCCAACAGGGATGACTTTTGGATTACCGGTTACTTGGGAGTTGGTGTGGATAATGGAGAGGTGGCCACAAACTAACACACATCCCCCCCAAACAGCCACACACACTTATAGGCATTCAACCAGGAATGGAAAATATGAGGTCTTTTAGAAATGTTAAGTCCAGTTGGTATTGCTCCCAAACATAAGACTGTCTTGGGGGTAGAGGGGTGGGTGGTGTTTCAGAAATGCAGATCCCCAGGCCTGGGCTCCAGTGATGCAGTCCTCCATGAATAGGGCTGTAGAACTGGCATTTCTTCTTGTTGTTGTTTTTTGAGATGGAGTTTCGCTCTTGTTGCCCAGGCTGGAGTGCAGTGGCACGATCTTGGCTCACTGCAACCTCCGCCTCCCGGGTTCAAGCGATTCTCCTGCCTTGGCCTCCTGAATAGCTGGGATTACAGGTGCTCGCCACCACGCCCAGCTAATTTTTTTGTATTTTTATTAGACGTGGGGCTTCATCATGTTGGCCAGGCTGGTCTTGAACTCCCGACCTCAGGTGATCCACCCGCCTTGGCCTCCCGAAGTGCTGAGATTACAAGTGTGAGCCACTGCACCCGGCCTAGAATTGGCATTTCTAACAAGCTTTTGGGTGGGTCTTATGCACAGCTGGCCCCGGGAGCCCCTGGGCTGGGGACGGGTTGTGGGAGCCCAGCTTAGCCCACAATTAGGTGGGGTTTCTCCCCAGTGAGGCCCCAGGCTTTGCCAGGCTGCCGGTAGCCTGGTGGGCACTTGGCTTTGCCCCCACGGCAGCTCTGGAGCCTCACCAAGCCTCCAGGGCCCACCCTCCTGCCCAGCTCTGTGTCTGGCACCTGTGCCTCCTTCCTTCACACCCACTTTGGTGACCCTCACGGCTGCTTGTCCCCTTGAGGTACTGACACTCACTTCCCAGGGAGGGTGCCCAACCTTCTGCCCTAATTGAGGGCAGGGCTATCCCCGCTCAAGCAGGACACTGGAATGAAAGAACTGTGGCCCATTTTGCTAGGATTGTTTTTGCTGTTATATGGGTTGGTATTTTCAGGAATTTTCAAGGACGGGGACAGAGGTCATCTTTCTTTATCCTGAGATTCTACTGATACGCTCAACTTGCAAAAGAGTCATTGTGAGTGTGTGACAGTCCTTTTGTGTGGATCCCCAAAGAAAGCAAGGTGTTGCCAGTTCCTTTCTCCTGCAGGATTTTTTTTTTCTATCAGTGAAATATTATTAAAATGTCTTAACATTTGTTTAGTGCCCTATATTTTATAAATAACACATCTTTGTGCTTTTTTATTGTGTAATGAATCCTCACAACTCTGAGGTGGGTGGGATTGACACCAGTTCACAGAGGAGAGTGGGGAGGTGCAGACTCATGAGCAGCATACACGGCATTCTTGTTGTTTTCTAGATACCATCGATAATGGGGTGGGTGCTGTCGCCAACATCCCTCGAGGCGTGGTGCGGTGGCAGGACTTGTCCAGGGTCCCGCAGCTGGTCCATGGCAGAGAGGGTTTCTGAAGACTGTACGGTGCTTCTCTTACCACTGTGGGGGAAGTTGTGTCCAGACCACATGGCTGGTCTGTGGTGGCCCCATCCCTAGAAGCATCCTAACTCTAAATCTAGATCTCTTTCCACTTTGGTTCCGTCCTGGCCCTTGCACAGCTCTGGGCCCACAAGAGCCTGTGGTTGGCCGGTCCTGGATTTCTCGAGCAGAGTGGCTGGGGCTGGCGACTCCTACGTACGCTTTTCCTCTAGAGACCTCTGGCTCTGTTCATGGCAGCAGGGGCAATCAGGGACCGCAGGCTTTCCTGGGTGTCTCGCAGAGCTTAGGAAAGTTTGGGCCAAAGGGTGAGAGGGAGAGGAAGAGTGAAGGCCGTTCCCTGTGGCGTGCGGGGTTGGTGGGTGAGGTGCTGCTCCCGGAGGCCCCAGGGAGAGTGGGCTGCAGAACCGGCGTGTGGGGAGCCCCTCCCTGTGGGTGCATTCACTTGTTCATACACGGAATTGCCTTTCAAATGCGGTTGGTGAGCTCACAGTGAAAAAGGCTTCATTGCAATTACTCTGCAAAGAGAAGAATTACTTGCCACTTGCTTATCCCTGACCTCCTCTTTTTCAGGTTTATTCATTGAATATCTCCTTATTTGGGGGCACTTTATTGGTTCAATGAGATGAGTGACATTTTCCAAAATGGTAGTACCTATCCTATCCTGTTCCTGTTGAGTAGGGGACTCAGCCTGAAGGTGGCAGCCCACTGTGGCTGTCCCACACGCTTCCTCGTCTTCTAACATGAGGGGGCGGGGATTGTTGTTAATTTCCTGGGTACAACCCCACATTCCCATTTGCTGGGAGCCGGTGGCATAGGAGACTCCCTGTGAAGCCTGGCGGGAGAGCAGTGGCCCAGAAGACTGGGCTGAAGGAGGCCTGCGGCACGCTGGTGACAAGAGCCACAGCAGCCTCACACAGCTTGGGGGCAACTGACCGCTCCCACCGGAGAAGTCCAGAAAGCCAAGCTGCGTAGGTCTTGGTTCAAAGTGGGGGCTTGCAGATTTGCTACAAGTCTCTGGTGGCCACGTCAGTGTCCATTCCAGCCACGCTGTTGGTGCTTCTGGGCCCAGATGTCACCTGCCTCAGGGTCCCAGCACCCTCGAAACTGGGTTCTACCAGGAGAGTTTAATAAAGGGACACTGCAAAATGCAGGTGGAGCATAAGGGAACCACAGTGGCCGTGGCTCGGAACAGCAAGGCTGTCACCTCTTCTGGGCCTGAGTCGGGGACGCAGCCACTGCATCCTGGAAACAGCTGAGAGGGCTTCCTTCCAGGTTGGATGGCCACAGCCAGCCTGAGGGAGCCCTGCAGGGTCGGAGCTGGGGGAGGGGAACATATCCTGACCTAGAGTCTCCAGCTGCGGCTCCCACTTGTCGGAACCCACGGTGGGCTCCCTCTTTTCTAACCCAATGGGAGTCTTAGATAAGAGTGAGCCCACTGTGAAGTCCATGCAGATGGCGGTGGCAGGGTGGAAAAGAGGGGGATTGGGGAGCAGAGGAAGGCTCAGTCCTGGACAGCAGGCTCAGTGGGGCCTCCCCCACAGGTGAAAATAACCCTTGTGCTACAAGGGCTGGAGCAAACCAGGTCAGCAGTGCCATCCCTGCCCCGTGTGGCTTCCAGGGTGGCTGTCCAGTCCGTTGTCTAAAGCTGGGACACAGGGAAGGGAGACACGGCTTCCACGCAAGTCAGGGGCACCAGGCCCACTGCAGCCCACCGCCGGCAGAGACCCGCCACCAGCAGGTCCGAAGCTCTGAGCTGCTTTTCCTGCATTGGGGTGGTGGGGGAGGAAGCAGTTTGACTTGAAACTTCCAGCGAGTCCCCAGGGTGTGCAGGCGCTACCTTGGCAGAAAACCGTCAGCCTCAGCATGTTCTTTGAACATAATAACTGCATCTTATCTGCATTCTTCATCCCTTCAGAAATATTTATTTTTAGTTTGGCTTTTTTGCTTATTCTGCACAATCACTGCAGCCCCTGGAGGTGTGATGAGCCCACCCCCATGCCTTCCCTCTTCTGTCCTAGGGTCCTCGGGGTTGGGGTGGGGGCCTCAGCTCCAGGGGTGGCAGGCCTGGTTCCGCCTCCTCCCCGCTAGGGTGACCCCGCAGGCCTGGGTCAGTGGAGGCCTGTTTTGTGTTCTGTGGAACATAGGGGTTGGGGTTGGGGACATGCTCTGTTGGCCTGGCTCTGACCCGTGACTCACTTGGGCGTGTGTTCAGATGTGGGTGAGTGCTTAGAAACCCAGGGGAAGAGGCCTGTCCACAGCAGAACCCTGAACGCTGTGGGCCTCTGTGGGCTCAGTGCCAGGCTCTGCCACAGGGCAGAGGGCAGAGGGCATCAGGGCAGCCTGGCCCAGTTCAGAAATGGAGTTTTTTTTTTAAACCTTCCTTTCATCATTGCCTGTTTTCTTCAATATTTGTATGCATTTACATTTTTATCAGTTTGCCATCATCTGCGTATATGTCCTTTATTCCTTACACACATCATAAAGTGGTCCCTCATTTCAGGTCTTCAGCATCCCTGGCTTCAGGCTTCAGTTCCACCAGGTAGAGATGCCACAGCTCACTAGCCGCCATTGGCTTTTAAGTGCTTTTCTTGGCTTAACATATGACTCACTGCTGCGCTTCACCTTCCTGGGGCTGAGATGCGTCGGGAGCAGCTGGGCTTGGTATCGGCCCCACAGGATCCTTAGGCAGGTGCCTGGCACCTGAATGCCCACAGCACACCTTGATTACCTTTCCATCTTGGGTGTCTCCAGCCGCAATCTCTCTGCTGAGCCCTCCTGGCGGCAGCAGGGAGGGTGGGACGGATCTGTTCCCAGGGAAAGTTTATTGACAATCTTAACATATTTTATAAACCCTCTGGGGTTGGCAAAAATCTAGCCTGCGTTTTGACAAACACATTGCCCTCAATGTTTAAGCCGACATGTATTTTAAGGGAAACAGAATCTGCAGTTTCTTCAAATGTTGACTTAATCCGTACATTGTTTTCTTAGCGGCCTGGTATATGCCCTCCAGGGAGGCTGGAAAACTTTTTTGTTAAATTATGTTTCTTAGAACTCAGGAAGTTGCGTTTTTCCAAGAGTAACTGAACTTAAACTCAGGGGGTCGGGGGAAGGGGTGGATGTGAATTGGCTTGAAACTACCCAGGAAATTCTAAATCCCTGTCTACCCAATACCAGCTGTCTAAATGAAATTTTAAAATTCTATCAAAATTCTTAATGTAATAAGTATGTCCCCCAAATGTGTGGATGTTTGAATTTGTCCATTGTCTCATCTGTAAAATGGCTCTTAGTTCTAACAGTCTTTTGATTTGACTTCCTGGTCCCCGAGTTCCTCAAATCCAGTGGGCCTTCCTGCCCAACACGTTCTGCACCTGTGGGTTCGTCTAACCACAGATGAAAAACATCCAGGAAAAAAAATTCCACAAGGCTCCAAAAAGCAAAATTTGGCTTCCCTGCTCACCAAGTCCTACACTGAATCCACACAAGTGAAGCGATGTGTAGCCATCGCAGTGGGTGTCATAAGTAACCTAGAGATGAACTGAAGTATGCAGGAGGATTGCATAGGTTATGGGCAAATACTACACCACAGGGACCTGAGCGTTGTGGAGTTTGGTATCTGCAGGGGATCCTGGAACTAATCCCTGATGGGTATTGGGGGCAACTGTATATATTGGGGGACAACTGTATACACACCATCTTTACCTGAAGGGCAGGCCCTACTAAGATCAGAGACCCTGAGGGCCCCCAGGGCTGCTAAGCAATGCCTGAGGCATAAACATTGATCTGGCAGCCAGGGTGATAGTCAAGCTATCTAACTGCACCCATGAGATAGAGTCCCAACCAGCTGGTGGGGTAGCTCAGGTGCTGAGACCCCAGACACCCTGGCATGGCCCTCCACTCTTGGCCCTCCATTCTGGCCACATCCCGGCCTCATCAGTCATCTCTACCGATCACTCAGACTCTGGCCTGGAGGTGCCCCATGGAGCCAGTCCCTGCACGCCTGCTTTCCTAGCCGCTGTTCTCCCTACGGGCACCGAGTCACCCTCTTCCTGGTCTCCAGTGCTCAGGCTTCTCTCCCGAGCCCCAGCCAGCCGCTGCCAGTGGGGTGCCGAGCCCTGCTGACCACATGCTGCCCTTGACTGTCTTCCCTTCTGGGCCTGGAGCTCCCTTGGAGGGCAAGGCTGTGTTTCATTGTCTCTGTGTCTATGTTAGTGTCCTGGGGCTGCTGTGACAAAGGAGGATGCTTGGTGCCTGGAAACAAGTGAAGTTGATTCTTCACAGTGCTGGAACCCAGAGGGCTGAAATGAGCGTCCCTGGGATGAAAGCAGGGTGTCAGCAGGGCCACATCTAAACCCTGCAGGGAACGGTCGGTTCCTGGCCTCTTCCAGCCCTAGTGGCTGCTGGCATTCCTGCGCTCGTGGCCACATCCATCTCTGCCTTCACCTTCACGGCCTCCTCTTCCGAGTATATCACATCTCCCTGGCCTCTCTCTTGTAAGGACATTTGTGGAGATATATATATATATATATATATTTTTTTTTTTTTTTTTTTTTTTTGAGGCAGAGTTTTGCTCTGTCACCCAGGCTGGAGTGCAGTGGTGCAACCTCAGCTCACTGCAGCCTCCGCCTTCCGGGTTCAAGCAGTTCTCTGCCTCAGCCTCCCGAGTAGCTGGGATTACAGGCGCCCACCACCACGCCCGGCTAATTTTTTGTATTTTTAGTAGAGACGGGGTTTCACCATCTTAGCCAGGCTGATCTTGAACTCCTGACCTTGTGATCCACCCGCCTCGGCCTCCCAAAGTGCTGGAATTACAGGCGTGAGCCACCGCGCCTGGCCACTTGCGGTTGTATTTAGGACCCCCCGGATAATCTAGGATAATCTCCCCAGTCAAAGTCTTTACCTCGTCACATCCACAAAGACCCCTTTCCAAGTAAGGTCACATTGACAGGTTCCAGGGATTAGGACCTGCTGTCTTGGGGCCGTCATTCTGCCTACCACAGTATCTCTCCCCAGTGTAAGGAAAATAGCGAACATGTGCCATTCCCTCTGCGGCTGCCTCTGTCCTCAGTCTGCGCTACATCCCGTGAGGCAGGCATTGTCCCCATCCCAGGTGAGGAAATGTGGAATGCAAAAGCTGAAAGGTTTGAAAAAGACTAAAAGGAGATGATAAAGAAATGAGGAGGGAAGGAGAGGAGGGAGGAAGGCAAGAGTGGAAGCTGAGGAAACAGAGGGTTTAGGGTGCAGGCGAGTGCCCCTGGATTGCTCCTGCTGTTGATGGCTGCTGTGAAACCTCAGTTCTTGTCTTCTTAGTTTAACAGAATTGAAACAGGAGACACACAGCAAAGGAGATGCAGCATAGAGCAATGTATTGCACAGGAGGAAGAATACCCTGAAAGTTAGGTGCAGAATAGGCAGGACGCCCCAAGAGGGGAGTCAGGGTAGGCTGCCTGTGAGGATGAGAGAGCAAAGACCGGCTGGAGGGAGGATCCCTTTTTAGGAGTCTTACCTGATTATTCATGAGCAGGTGGGCAAGGGGGTTGCTGGGAAGCATGTTCTGGGTGCTCATGCACAGTGGCTGTGCATCCCTGTTCATACGTCACATGTCTCACTGGCATCTTAAATCTCCATCCAGGGGTGTGTTTTTTACTATTGTAATGAGCAAAGGGTCACTGTGAGGACCGGTAAAAATCAAAGTGCACGTGCTCTCTACAGGGGAAAGTCCCTACTGAAGATAGCTTTGCTTGAATGAGCTTGCCTGCAGTGCGAATGCTGGGGCTTATTGTGTTGACGGCGCAGTCGCCATGGTTGCTGCGTCCTGAGGACATGGTTACTTCCCTGACTATCTGTCGTGCCTCACTGGTACCCCGTGCTTTCTGAGAATCACTCAGACTGAAGTCATTCTTTAAGAAGGATGAGTTGAGGGCTGGGCGCAGTGGCTCACGCCTGTAATTCCAGCACTTTGGGAGGCCAAGGCAGGCAGATCACTTGAGGTCAGGAGTTCGAGACCAGCCTGACTAACATGGCGAAACCCCATCTCTACTAAAAATACAAAGAATTAGCCAGGTATAGTGGTATGCGCCTGTAATCTCAGCTACTCAGGAGGCTGAGGCAGGAGAATCACTTGAACCCGGGAGGCAGAGGTTGCAGTGAGCCCAGATCGCGCCACTGTACTCCAGCCTTGTGACAGAGTGAGACTCTGTCTCAAAAAAACAAAACAAAACAAAACTAATGCTAATTGACTCCAGCTTGTCTCAAACACTCCCTACATCCTGCTTTCTTCCCTTTTCAAACATTGTTCCCAGAAGAAAAGCAGGAGCTGGCATCCCCAGTACGCTCACATCTCCCCTGTCCCTCATCTGCAGGACATGAAAGCTATGTGACCTTCTGCCAGCTGGAGGATGAGGCTGCCTTCACATGCAGCGCCGACTGCACCATCAGGAGGTGGGACGTGCTGACCGGGCAGTGTCTGCAGGTGTACCGAGGACACACGTCCATCGTGAACAGGTCAGCCTGGCTGGGGGCTTGGGCTGAGTCTCACCATACATAGGCTTCTGGTGGGGCTGAGGGGTCAGAGATATGGGCCCCTGCACGTGAGGGCCCTTGGCTCTCTGGGGAAGCAAAAACGTGGACAGCTGGGAGGTGGTCAGTAGCACCCAGCGACGTGGACCCAGGACAGGCAGCGAGCTCAGTGCCTGCGGCTGCATGTGGGGCAGGGAGGCACTGCCCATCCACTGAACAGAGCCTGATGCTTCCCCCTTGGGGGCACAGTGGCTCCCCGCTGGGTGCAGGGAAAAGCACCAGAGCCTACAGCTCGTAGGGATGGGGACAAATTCCATAGGAAATGGCTTAATTGAGACCCGATGGTGGACCAAAGGTTTGCAGGAGGAGGAGTGTGGGGGATTGTTCCGAAGACGGAGTTGAGGATATTTTTAAGCCTCTCCTTTCTTTGTAGCTGTGGAAAATATCCCAGCCCCTCCTTCTCAAGAAGGTTGGAATTGTTCCTTTCTCAATGAATTTGGGTCTGAGCTGAGCAATGGAAATTCCTTTGCTGATCAGATCAGTTGGACACTGTTGGAGTCACTTGTGGTGGTCACCTCGGACTCCCGAGGGAGGCCTCCTGGCGCCCCTGGGCCTGGCAGCTGCACTGGAGGAGGGGCGCTGCCTGGAGGGTGACCCAAGTAAAGACAGGGCTGGCGCAGGCTGGCACGAGGGGGTCCTGAAGGTGGGGCTGGGGGCGCAGACCAGACAGGATGAACCCCACCAGAGGAATGCTGTTGGTTGAGCTCTGACAGGAACCCCCAGTCAGTGGACCAGCGCATGGGGGGACAGGAAAGGCAGTGAGACCCATCAGCCCAGCTCGCTGGAGTCGCAGGTGGCTGCAGCCAGGAATAATAATCGATAGTCGATGGACGGGGAGCTGGGTGACACCCTGAGGAGGAGGCTGAAGGGATGCGGGGACTTTTTAGAGTGAATGGGGGGTATATGCAGACACAAGGTAGGGTGGCCGTCTGGCCCCGGCCTTCCTCAGCTGAAGCAGGTGAGGCCCTGAGACCTGCCCAGGCAGCCCACAAGGTGGTAAAGAAGGGGCTAGAGTGAGAACTCAGGGCTCACAGCTCCACTGGCCTCTTCCCAGCACTCTGACTTCCCTGAGAAAGAAGTTTGCCATGAAAGAAGAGAGTAGGGCTGGGGGAGCGCCCTCCTGTGAGTCAGGCAGAGGCTGCAATGGGCTCAGCGGGGAGAAGGCCTGCCTGCAGTGACCAGTGGGCCCTCAGCTGCCAAACCCACAACTGTCAGATGCTTCTCAAAAGCAAAACTGGAACATTAAAGGTAGAAATCATGCTCGGCCAGATTTACTCTCACATGTGCACACACAACTTACACATACACATGTGCGCACACACACAACATACATATACACCATACACACAACTTACACATATACACGTGCATACACAACATACATACACACTCATACACAAACTTACACATACACACGTGCGCACACATACATATACACATACACCATACAAACAACTTACACATATACACGTGCATACACAACATACATACACACTCATACACAAACTTACACATACACACGTGCGCACACATATACACATACACACCTTACACATACACATGTGCACACACATACACTCATACACAACTTACACATGTGCACACACGCACAACATACATATACACCCATACACACAACTTACACATACACATGTGCACACATACACAACATACATATGCACTCATACACAACTTACACATGCACATGCAACTTACACACATACACACAACATACATATGCACCCATACACACAACTTACACACACATATGCACACACAACACACACATGCACACACATAGACACACAACTTACACAAGCAACAAAACATACACATATACACACAAAGTACATGCAGGCACACATTGTGCACACAACACACATGCACATATACACATATGCACACATGTTCACATGTGCTCACAACATATACAAACACACACACTATTTTGGATCGGTCACAGCTCCAAACCCATAGCTCTGTGTAGATATTTGCATGATTAAGTAACTGTCCTCATAAATCAGGAACTCACTTCCTCCCGAGTTTTCAGAGCCAGGTCAGGCCTGTGAGCTTTGGGGTCACCGATCGTTCAGTGGCCTGGCATCCCTGCCTTCTCACACCAGGCAGGACTCAGCCACCCCCTCCATACCCCAAGGCCTCCCGCTACACCCTTCCTCCCGCTATGCCCTTCCTCCCGCTACACCCTCTTCCTCCCGCTATGCCCTTCCTCCCGCTATGCCCTTCCTCCTGCTACGCCCTCTTCCTCCCGCTACACCCTCTTCCTCCCGCTACACCCTCTTCCTCCCGCTATGCCCTTCCTCCCACTACACCCTCTTCCTCCCGCTATGCTCTTCCTCCCGCTATGCCCTTCCTCCCGCTATGCCCTTCCTCCCGCTACACCCTCTTCCTCCCGCACTTTGCAGCAGCAGCATCAAGGCATCATTTCCTTTAAAAATACACGTAATCCCAGCTACTCGGGAGGCTGAGGCAGGAGAATCGCTTGAACCTGGGAGGCAGAGGTTGCAGTGAGCCGAGATCGTGCCACTGCGCTCCAGCCTGGGCGACAGAGTGAGACTCCGTCTCAAAATAAATAAATAAATACATGTTTTGTGACAATCATCCTATCTGGGTCTCAGGGAAGAAGCCAGTTGGAAAGGGATAGTTGGCATTTGAGTGGAGTCATGTGTCGTTGAGCTGCTTGCGGGAAGTGAGGAATGCTGTTGGGATCCTGTGGAGGCGGGAGGCAGCAGGCTTGTCCCGAGTGGGTCTCCTGTCCATGCCAGGCTGGCCAGCAAGCCCTTCGCGGGAGGACGGGAGGAGCAGCAGGGCCGGCCGTGGTCCTGATTCAGGAGGGTCCCACCCCGGCAGGGATGCACCTTGTTACAGTGCAGCCACGGCCGCACCCCTTGGCGGTCTCCTCTCCTGAGGTGCAGGGCTTCTTACCAAGGGTGTGTGCTCAGACCTTCTGAGGTTCTGTGCAAAGCTCTGCACTAAAGACAAATGTGTGTTTTTCTGGGGAGTTCTTGGCTTCCATCAAAATGAAAATAAGAGTCGTGAATACAATGTGGGGGCCTTGGTCTCCCATGTTGGTCAGTTGCACTGAATGGATGGACTCTCTTGGCTACCCAACCCCCAGTTCCCAGCCATGTGGCTAGAACCCTGTTGAGGCTGTGACCTCAGTCTGCATGGGGATTGCTGTGAGAGCTGGCAGCAGAGGCCCCCACTGGCTGTAGCGTGACCCCTGGCTGTGCCTCCCACAAGCACCCCTGGGTGCACTATGGGAGTTCCCAGTGCTCTCCAGCTTCTCAGGGCCCTCATCTGAAGTGCCCTGCCCAGCCACTTGAGCCGGCCCTGTTCCCAGGGTGACCAGCGTGTCCCACTCTGCCCTGGACTTTCTCAGTCTTAGGCTGAAAACCCTAAATCCCCAGAAGCTTTTCAACTCCGGGCAAGCTGAGAGGGCCGTGCTCCCCTACCTTCCCCCCCACCCGCTTCCCGCTGCTCCCCTACCTCCTCCCCCATCCCCTTCCCGCTGCTCCTGCAGAGCTGCTGTGGGGATGCTGGAGGGATCCCAGCGGAGCATCTAAGCTTGGTCCCTGCTACAGGTACATGCCCAGGGGCAGGCAAGGAAGGGTGGGCATGAGGGGAGTCAGGGTAGCTTCCTGGAGGTGGGGGCGATTTGAGCTGGACCTTGGAAGACGAGTGTGGCAAGCTGGGCAGACACAGGGAGAGGTTATTTTAGCTGCAGTGCCGAGCATGGCATGTCGGGAGGCTGTGTGGATTCTGGAACCCGTGCCTTCTGATCCCTGACCCCTTCCCTCTTGCCCCCAGGATCCTGGTTGCCAACAACCAGCTCTTCAGCAGCTCCTATGACCGGACAGCTCGGGTCTGGAGTGTGGACAAGGGGCAGATGTCCCGGGAGTTCCGGGGCCACCGCAACTGCGTGCTGACCCTAGCCTACTCTGCCCCGTGGGACCTCCCCAGCACTCCCTGCGCGGAGGAGGCCGCGGCCGGGGGGCTTCTGGTGACCGGCAGCACAGATGGCACAGCCAAGGTGTGGCAGGTGGCCAGCGGCTGCTGCCACCAGACGCTGCGGGGCCACACGGGTGCAGTGCTGTGCCTAGTGCTAGACACGCCCGGCCACACGGCCTTCACAGGCAGCACCGACGCCACCATCCGTGCCTGGGACATCCTGAGTGGGGAGCAGCTGCGGGTGTTCCGGGAGCACCGGGGCTCCGTCATCTGTCTGGAGGTGAGACTGTCCTGGTCCCCGCCCAGCAGCCAGGGGAGCCCAGGTCACCCCCTGCACTGCCGCCCTGCCCTGGGTATCTGTGATTCGGCTGCATAACAAAGCGCTGCAGATGGGGGCCTGGCAAGCGCCACGGAGGCCTTGCGGTCCTGGGGCTGGGAATCCAAGATAAGGGGTCCGCAGTACTGGTTTCCGTGAGGCCTCTCCTTAACCTGCAGATGCTGCCTTCTCCCTGTCCTCGTGTGTGTGTGTGTGTGTGTGTGTGTGTGTGTGTGTGTGTGTGTCCTAATCTCTTCTTAGAAGGACACCAGTCATACTGGATTAGGGCCCCCCTATGAACTCATTTTAACTCAACTGCCTCTTTTAAAGACCCTCTTTCAAAAAGGCCACATTCATAGGTACAGGGGTGGGGTAGGGCTGCGACACGTGAATCTGGGGTGGGCATGATGCAGCCCATAACACTCAGCTTCTGAATCTGCATGCTGGGCCAGAGCTGGGGCGGAGCCTGCCTGCAGGGCGCCTGGAGCGGGTGTTGACTGTTTTCCTGGTTTGTCTTTGTGCTGTCAGGGTGAACGCCGGCAGCCTCCTGGGCTCCGTCCTCATGGGTTGGGGACTGGGAAGTGGCCCATCATGCTATAAGCTGACAACCAGGATAGAGGAAGCACATAGCGCTGTAATGGTGTGGCCGTGTGGGACGTGGGGTTGCTGCCCCGTCTCCGTTGCCTCCCCTGGACAAGCCACCCAGCCTCTGTGGGCCTCAGTTTCCTCACATGTACAGGGAGGATTACGCCCCTTCTTAATTCCTAAATCCAAAAAGTTCCAAAAATTGAGAAGTTTTTTCTTAAGCTTGGCACGAAAACGCCTGGTGGCAGAGTCTGGCCTGAAGAGACATGTGACTGTGTGTGCTTCGAACATCCCGGTGCCTGGGGGTTCTCACGCCTTTCCTGCAGATGCAGGAGTGTGTCTGTAAGCCAGAAAATCCTCGAACGCATTGTCCCAAGGTTTTAGATTAGGGATTATGGTATGAAGTTGCCCCGTCCGTGGGCTTGTGGTAGGGATTTGGTGAATCAATGGAAGATGCGTGAACAGTGCTGCCAGGCAGCCCTTAGCCGCCGCGACCGTGACCATCCCTGCTGCTGTTGCTGTGAAGGACCTAACGGTGTGCCTGGCCGGAGGACCTGTTGGGTGTGATCCCCCATGCTGGGGTCTAGATGTTCCTGGCTCAGTCTCGGCCAGCCTCTGCCCTGCTCCAGGGCAGGTCCGACCCCTGCGGCAAGCGGTTGGGGTGCATTGCTACCAGCACCTGATGCTCAGCGAAGCCGCAGAAGATGGGAGGGGCAGGCTCCGGGTGACGGGGCTGGAGTCAGGGCAGCCCTGATCAGGCTTCGCTGTGCTCAACCCCATAGGAGAGCCAGGCCAGGGGCCCCATTTGGGGTTGTAGGGGTAGAGGCGGCCCCGGGGCTCCAAGACCAGGGGAGCAGGGAAGGGCTCACATTCGCGTGGAGGGAGGGTCACCCAGGTCCCTGAGATGCTGGATGGGGCATGTAAACCCCATGTCTCTAACTCAGGTCCCACCTGAGGACATTGGGATGGGTGGACAAAGAAGCAAATCAGCAAATGCAGCGAGATGAGGGGCTTGGGAGAGCAGCTCGTCGTGGGGAAGGGGCACAGCAGTCCGGGCCCATCTCACAGGGTCTGTCCGCACAGGTTTCCCTTGGCCTCAGCTCCACCTCTGGTGATAAGAATGTTTCTGTTTCTTGATCTCCTGCTTTCAGGAAAGAAGGGAAGGTCAGGGTGCACTGCTCGCACCTGTTTTTTGCGTGCCTTTTAACTCGACATCATCCTTATGCTGAAGGGGCGTGTTTTGGGGAGGCACACTCTGCCACTCTTCACGCTCCCCGGCCCTCCCTCCGTGTCCTTACTTGTCAGATGCTGGTGGTGATAACAGCTCTTCTAGTCTCCCAGGGTTCCCGTGAGAGTCAGCACTAGTGGCCCGAGACTCGTAAAGAGCTGGGGGCATCCGAGGCCTCTTTCCTGCCAGGCAGTTCCGTGGTGGGCAGTATGGAGTGAGGCTGAGACCCCCCCTACCTGGCTCATGTCTGTGCTCTGAGCTTGCCAGGGCAGGGGGTTGGGAGGGGAAGGGGCCAGGAGTTCGCTGGGAGGCCTGTCCCAGATGGAGCTGGTGACTCGCCCTCATGTCACCAGTGAAAGAGGAACCAGCGCAGGCATAGAAAGGCCACTGGCCAGGTGGAGGCTGGTGCTGGACGGAGGGGGGAGAAAAGCAGCACTGCCCTCCCAGGTGACAGCTGTCCTCACTCCAGGGGTGGCAGGATTCCCCGGGTTCGCTCCCTGGGGTATTCTGTAGGGTCTCAGTGCTGTTCTTCCTGGAGAGTGGGAGCGTAGGGTGTCCTGGCAGAGAGTCAGGAAGGCTAAAGGAGAGAGTGCGGAGAGACAGCTCCCACCCCACACACCTGTGTGCACACACAGGCATAGGCGCACACACTCCACATGCACATGCATGATACGCGCGTGTGAACGCACACCCCACAGGCACACATGCACACACGTGTGAACACACGTGTGAACACAGACAAGCCACGCACGTACATGCATGCCCACAAACATACCACGCAGACACACATGTTGATGGGTATGAAGAGAGAGCACCCGGGGGCCAGAGGCTCTGGCTATGGACTGTGCCTTTGTTTTCTTTCCCTTTGAAACTTAGCCAGTCCCACAAAGCAATTTGAATGGGAAGAGGACTGGGGACAGAAGGTGCCCATGGGAACAGCCAGGGACAGCCTGGCCCAGGTGGCCAGTGGGGCTCAGTCCTAGCAGGGGGGTGGGGTGCAGGGAGCCAAGACTGAAGAATGGGGGGCTCTGGAGACGGGCAGGGCTGCCATGAGGGCTGAGACCCCCTAGGAATGCACTGGTCAGAAGGTTCTGGGAGGTGGAGGTGAGCCTCTCAGGACCACTAGGTCTCGTAAAGACAGAAGGAAGGCAAGAGGGAGGGCAAGGAAGGAGCTAGCAGGCACCTAGGTAGTGGCCCCGCAGTGTGCAGGGTGCACAGCCTGTGACAGGCCTGGGAGGTCCCTGGGCGGCCGGTGGCCCCGGAGCCTCAGCTTCTGGTAGTGGCAGGGGTGGAGTTTGCCTCCTCTATTAGACTCGGCCTCCCGACCTGGGAGCCAGGCTCGTGGGATGAGGGAGTGAATGGGCGGCGCTCCGCAGGGGCTCCGAAGCTGCAGGAGGCATGGGCAAGGCCCACCCCCCGGGTAGGGGGCTTCAGGGGTTACATGCTCTCCACATGGGGATGCTCTCACAGTGGGGGACTCTGGGGCAGGGTCCATTTTACCCCTGTAAACACAAACCCTAAGTTCCAGCATAAGTCCCCTTCAGGGAGGGAGGTTCCTGTTCCCTAATGAGGAGTCAGTGGTGGGTGGATGGGGGTCCAAGTGTCTGAGAGGCTGGGGGTGCAGGGGGCACATGGGGAGAGGGCCTCGCTGGCCAGCTGGATGGGGGCATGTGGGCAAGAGAGAAGGGACATGACCCAGGCCTGGGCGCAGGGGAGCATCAGGCTGCAGCATAGGCTGGGGGCCCCGATCAGAGCTGGGGTCCGGGAGGTCCACTCTTGGGGAGCACATGGCTGGCTCGGGCCTGGCTGTTGCGTCTCAGCTGGGCAGCACCTTGCCCTGCCCTGAGCGTCTGAAGGGGCTGGCAGAAGGAAGGCAGCACACACTTTTGCAGAAAGAGCAGCTGGCACTGAAGGCAGCCAAACGTCTGATGGTTTGGGGCTCTGCTCAGGTAGTCACTAAGGTAACTACTAAGTGACACCCTGCTTCACTAGGAAGGCCTGGTGGCTGAGGTAGAAAAAAGGCCCCCATCGCCCAGGACGGGTGGGATGAGGTGTCAGCCTCACGGTGCGTGGGAGGGGCGGGGCTGGGGAGGAGGCGCACCCCTGTACTTGGACTCCTAGATTCTCGGTAGACGGGAGTTTCTTTTACTTTGTTCCCGCCATCTCCCTAATCGTCCAGCACCTTCTAATCCCTTGGGAAGTCTGTTGGGTGACATTTTGGTGCATCTGAGTGTGTTGTAACATTGCCCATGTTTAAGATTCCCTCTTTCTTCCCTTCACAGGGTGGGGAAGGCACCTTTTCCCACCCATCCAGATCTGCCTCTTGAAAAGGACTGTCGGGCCCCAGACCCGGTGCGCAGAGAAACAGAATCCAGCCGGACCCTCAGTCTCGCCCGGGCTCCCAGCTCACCCAGCTGCGTGTGGGGGGCCATGCGACCCACAGAAGGGACCATCTTGCCTTTCTCTTCCCTTGTATATGATTTCTTTCACCCGACACCACTCAGGAAATTGGAGTTTTGCAGGGGTTAGAAGGCTGCTGCCTTACAAGCCAGGTTTGATTAGGGCTATGGGACATTTCTCACACTGTCCTAAACGCAGAGGGGGCTTCCTGACAGAGATTCAGGGGCAGGGAGCCAGGGCAGGAGCCTCATGAGCAGATCCGGGAAGCAGGACTTCTGGGTATGGCGTCCCCTAGCCCTCGCTGGGCCCCGCCCCCGCAGGTGGCTATGTCAGTTCTCCCTCCTGCCTTCTGTGGCTTCTCTGACCGAGGGCCATCGCCGCCACAGCCTTCATCAGATGGGCTGGAAGTGCCGCTCACGATCTGCCTTTCTAGAAGGGCCTGATTGGCCCTCTCGGGTCCAGGAAGCACAGGAGGGGGACCCACAGGATCAGCTGAGGCCTCCCTTTAAACCATTTTCAGCATTTACTCAGGGCGTGAAGCACGTTCAGTGTTGTGCAAGCATCATACCATGATTTCCAGACTTTTCCATCAGCCCAAATCAGAACTCTGTCCCCATTAAACACTGACTCCCCGCTGCTCTTCCATGCCCCGGGCACCCGCCCTTCTGCTTTGTGTCTCTGAATTTGATGACTCTGGGTCCTCACATGAGTGGAGTCGTGCAGGATCTGTCCTTTCCTGTCTGGCTTATTTCATGAGCATAAGATCTTCAGGGTTCGTCTGTGTTGTGGTGTGTGATGAGATTCCCTCCTTTTTCCGTGACTGATAAATATTCCCTGGTATGTGGATACCACATTGCGCTTATCCGTCACCTGTTGATAGACACACGGGTTGCTTTCACCTTTCAGCTGTTGTGAACGGGTGGACGGGATCTGGGTGCATCCTGCCTTCAGTTCTCGGGTATATGCCTGCCAGTGGGACTGCGGATGACTTGGTAATTCTCTGTTCAGCTTTTTGAGGAACTGCCAAAGTGAAATGATTCTTAAGGCGAGTGTAGAGGGAAAGGGATGGGAGGTGGGCGCCGTACCATCCCCTCTGCCCACAGCGTCAGGACGCTGTGCAACTTCCGGAGGCTTCCTGACTGTGGGGGTTGGGGGGACTCCTTTTTCACAATCTGCCAAGTGGGGACACACGATGGCTGCCCCTGGCGTGGCCAGATGGGGTCCTGATGTGGGGGGTGTGCAGTGAGCTCTGGGCTTGGTCTGTTTTCACGGGGAGAGCTCTGTCGTTGAGGGCTGAACCAGGGACTTTTCATCTCCTCCCCTCCAGCTCCTCCCCTGCTCCGCAGCCCTGGCCCTGCGAGTGCTCCGTCTCCCCGAGCTCTGACTGTCCCTTGGTTCGTGGCACCAGGGCTGGCCATTACACCCCACGCTCTCTTGCATTTGGATCCTTTTGGGGCCCCTGCCTCATGGCCTGCCTGGGGCCCTCACTCTGCCTCAGTGCTCTGCTGGGCTGGAGATTGTGCATTCAGCCCCTGGCTCACCGGCACCCCCATCCACAAACTGCTCTCAGGAACATGGCACCCACACACAGGACTGTGTGGCTTCTCCACCCCAACCCAGAAACCCTGTGAGGCAGGCGGCACCATTGCTATCTAAGATTGAAGCAGAGACCTGCTTGTTGCTTTTCTCTGCTCTCGGCATGCAGTCGGGGTCACTGACCCGTGGTCTATGACACCTCATCTCCTTCCCCTTCCTCGAAATGAGAGAGGGCCTCATGCTCACTTCCAGGCGTCCTTCTCCTATGCGTACAGGCCTGGTGGGTGCACCTGAGACCAGGAAGCAAGCTCTTCAAAAGGACTTCACACAGCCCCTGCCCTGTGCAGGGCGGAGCGGGCAGACTCCTTCCCAGGTGCCCTTAAGAGTCCTGGGCCCCCACAGTGGCTTTGCGAGCCCCATTGTGTCGCCTCTGAAATCGTTTTGCCGAAGAAGCGTGTGTGCTTGCAAGTCAAGAGCCAAGGGAGAGAGTGGCTGAGGTTTCCTGGTGGGCCAAGTGTGGGGCGTCTGCTGGGACCCTGAGTGAGCCGCCCGGCGATGGTGCGTTTGAGCTGTGGTGTCTGCACCACTCACATCACACAGGTCAGGCTTCTTTGATTTATGGAGATAAGCCCGTGGGCAGCCTTTCCAGAGGCTGGGGAGGAAAAGAGGAGACCGTGCAGTTTCGCAGAGTCCTGGTCCATTGCTGCTCCTGTAACAAAATACCTTAGACTGGAGGGCCGGGCACGGTGGCTCACGCCTGTTATCCCAGCACTTTGGGAGGCTGAGGTGGACGGATCACTTGAGGCCAGGGTTCCCAGACCAGCCTAGGCAACATGGAGAAACCTCATCTCAAACAAAAAAAAAAAAAAAAAGGAAAGAAAAGAAAAAAAGGTGCAGAATACCTTTGACTGGGTAATTTATAAATAATAGAAATGTATTTCTCACTGTTCCAGAGGCTGGGAAATCCAAGGTCTAGGCGCCAGCACGTTCTGTGTCTGGTGGCTGCTGCTCTTGCCACGTCCTTCGTCTTGGATGAAGGGACAAACAGGCTCCCTTAAGCCCTTTTATAAAAGGGAACTCATCTCATTTATGAGGCGGGCCCTCATAACCACTTTACTTCCTAATGCTATCACAGTGGGGGTTAAGTTCCAGCATGAATTTGGGGGGTTCCGACACTCAGACCATAGCTTCATATACCCCGCCTCCGACCGTCAGCCTGGGGACCAGGTGGCCACAAAGCATCCTCCCTGCTTCCCTGAAGCCTGCAGCCTGCTCCAAGTTGGCCAAAAGCAGAGGTGAGGTCCTGAGAAACCACCGTGCCCAGAGGGGCCTCTGCCTCCCTCGCCTTTTACAGGACTGCATGCAGGGCTGAGCCACCGATCTCAGGGGTCCCAGAAGCCAGGTGGGGACAGAGCCAGGAGCACACAGGCCTCCTTTGGAGAGGGTCGGGCCAGAGATGGTGTGAGGACCTGCTTCTAAGCGACAAACCCAAGGTCAAAAAGCCAGGGGGCACCCTGTCTGTGGTGGCCCTGCGCTGCAGGGCAGCCCTCTCCCCTGCTCTTTGAGGGGTCGCCCAGGTTCTGGGCTTGACCTGGGGTCCTTGTGAAGGAGGAGAGATAGAGTCTCTGCCCTGTCCCTTCATGGTTTTACAGAGATGTTTTAAACATTTTAGTTATAAAACATTTCAAATGTAAATTGTAAAAAATAACTAAAACAGACACCTATGCACCCAGTTTTGAAATCAGATAGCAACATTGTGATTTTAAAGAAACGAAGCATTTCAAATCCAGCCAGAGAAAAGAAAGACCTACAGGATCTGGGAGCCCGAGGTGGTGGGGACCACAGCAAGGATGTCGTGGGGCAGTCTCTGGCTGCAAAAGCCCTGTCGTACCAGTTCATGAGTCTCACCCAACCCTGAGGAGCCGGCGGGCAGAGATTGCACCTGCGTTTTGGGGATGGGCGGGGGTTACCATGTTCAGGCCCTGGGCTGCGTGTGGCGCACAGCAGTGCATCAGCCCTTGTGGCCTCGTTCTTAGCAGGAGGTCCTTGTTTCTCACGTTGCACATGAGACAGTGGAAGCTTGGAGAAGATGAGTAACTTGGCCACGTCTCACATCTGCTGAGGGGTGGAGGCAGGATTTGAACCCAAGACTGTGCATCTGTAAGCCCCGTGCCTGTGACCACCACAGCTGTCACCAGGCAGGTGGTGCGTCCCCCGACACTCTTGCTTGGGAGGAGTATCTTGGAGGGTCTGCTGCTCTGGAGCCTGCCAGGCCCTCTGCAGCCTTCTCCCACCCCTGCGGGGCTCCCTTGGAGCCCGGGGAGGTGGAGGCCCGCATCTGTGCCCTCAGCGGCGGAGCCCCGGGCCGGTGCCTCTCCTGCTTCTGCTTGGTTGGATCTCATCGCTGGGAGACTCCTCAGAGCCGCCGTGGCTGCGAGGAGCCCTCAGGATCATCCTGCCTTCCCCCTTGGCTCAGGCCTCCCTGGGCCACCCCGCTCTCCCTGTCCTGTCAGGAAACCAGCTAGAGGGAACAGCAAGGCCTCCACAGGCTGAGGACCCTGGGGCTGGGAGCGCCCCCTCGGCCTGTGTGGCTCTGGCTCATGTTCGGCAGGGTGCTACTGGGAGGGCTAAGCACAGTGCTCACAGGCCCTGTGTGGTGAGGGCCGGCTGCCAGGGAACAGGAGGGGCTTCCCTTTGTCCTCTCCTGCCCTGGTCACCCAGCAAGCCTCCTGCCCTGGTCACCCAGGAAGCCTCCTTGGTGCAGGGGCTGAGCAGCACAGAGGTGTGGGGCTGCAAAGCTGGCCAGTCCTTGGAGGTCTCAGTCTCAAACATTCCACCCTTGCCCACTCCTCTTATTAGAGCCTGAGAGGCTCTGTGACTGTCTGGGACGCAAGCACAGGGAGCCTGGCTGGCTCTGGAGCTGACCATGTGTTGGGGAGATGGCCAGGAAACGCTGCGCTGGTGGTGGTCAGCCCAGCCTCCGGGACACAGACACAGTGCCCTGGGGGCGGTGCGAAGAAGGATCCTGGGCTTCCACTTGCCGATGAAGGAAAAGGGAGGATCACAGTACAAGGGCTTTCTGGGCAGGGAGGACTTGTAGGAAACCTGGGAGGAAGGCACGTGCCCAGAGGTCCTGGGGCAGCAGTGTGGACACAGGTGTGTGGAGTGGAAACCAGGATATAGGGCCAGGGAAGCTGGGCCCTGCAGGGCCTCCGAGCCTGAGGCAGGAGGGGTGGTCTTTCTCAGGAAGCAGAGGGGCTGTTGAAGACTGTAAGCAGCTGACTGTGTGCCCGGCAGGCTCAGGAAGGTCCATTTGTCCTTCCTGCTGGTGCCCGCATTACTGGCAGGAACTGTGCTCCTGGGTGGTGCAGATGGCTGAGGTCTGAGTGCAGGAATGTTCTGGAACCCTGCCAAAGCTGACACGGGCAGGTAGGCAGTATCCCTGTCCTTGGGGAGGGGACCATCCAGTTAGGGAGGCTGCCTGGGCTGGGGCCCACCGTAACCCCAGCAGGACTTCAGGGCAGGGCCTGAGAGAGGGCAGGTGACTGTCCACAGGAAGCACCTGCAGCCTCTGCCTCCCAGAGGCCACATTGTGCTCCTCGTGGTTCCACTGCCTTCTCTGGGCACAGTGATTGGCCCAAGGCCAGTTAACTCCTTTGACCTGGGCTGTGGCCCGGGTCGTGGAAGCTCTGTCCTCTGGGATTTGAACAGGGAGATAATATGGGGAACCGGCAGTGGAAAGTGGCCCAGAGCGTGGTCGTGAGGGGAAGGTTAGGAGGGACGTGTTCGGGATGCCAGTGGCCAGCGTGAACTGACTGCCTGCCGGTGGGCCCACTGCCTGCCGACCACAGGAGAAATGCCCTGTGTGCCTGACCCGCTTCTGACTCCTGGTTCCTGGGCCCTAGCAGTAGTGGCAGGAGGCCTCTCTGGGGCATGAAGCCTGCGCCTGTCTCCTGTGCCATCGCGCCAGGTCACTGCAGCTGTGGAGCCCGCCTGCCCGCCCTGGCCTTCTCGTCCGTGACTGCTGACCAGAGGTGCTGGCTGGGAGTGCTCTTGGCTGGGTGGTGTTTAGTCTAGGGGAATTTACAGAATTATTTTAATAGTCTCCGCACTTCCCTGGGGCCGCTACTCCCGTCCATCTTGGCGAGGGCCTCTTCCCTTGTCTCCTGGGCCCTCTCCGTACCTCCTGCGAGACAGCAGCATCACATGGCTGGGTGAGACTGTCTCCCGGGCCCTCTTCTCACTGTGAGCCCCATGAGCAGGGGGAGCAGTGACCCCGTGACAGTCCCCGGCTGTCAGCTCCAGTCTTGGCAGAAGTCTGCCTCACACCCTCGCTCAGGGCTTTCTCTGTCCTGTCTGAAGCAAAAGCCCCATGTGAAAGCCCTTCTCTGGAAGCCCTCTCCTCAGCCAGCAGGAGCGAGCAGTTAAGTGCCTGTACCCCACACACACCCTCGAGGAAGGGGCTGTCCACATCCTAATCCTCAGGGGAAGCAGCTGAGGGGCAGAGAGCCAGGGACTGGCCCAGGGCAGTGTGGGGCTGGGCGGCCAGCCCTGTTGGAGCACTGGCTGCCCCATGGGGCAGGAGCAGCCGCCTGCTTTTGGGTGCTGAAGTGGGCAGTCTGGTGGGGCCGGTGGCGGGGCCATTCGAGGCTCACCCATGGTTTCACCACTGAGACCTGCACATGCCCCTTCCCCCCTTATAGAGGGAGAGGTCTGGGGGGCTTCAGAGCTGCCCCAGCTGCCGACCTTCCCTGCTCCTCCTCGCAGCTGGTGAACCGACTCGTGTACTCTGGCAGCGCGGACAGGACCGTCAAGTGCTGGCTGGCAGACACAGGGGAGTGTGTGCGCACGTTCACGGCCCACAGACGCAACGTGAGCGCCCTCAAGTACCACGCGGGCACCTGTAAGTGACTTGGCCCTGCACGACCTGTGCCACCCCAGCCTGGCTTCTCCTCTCTGCTTCTTTACTTCCTATGGGATTTTCCCTCATTGAGCCTTGGCTGCCAATCATCAGCGTCCAATGGCAGTGCTCGTTCCTTCTCCACACACCCGTGCTTCCAGCTGTTTTGCAAAGAAGGTGCAAATAAGGGTTTGGTGGCTCCTCCCAACCTTTCTCCAGGACAGCCTGGGAGACTGGACTGCTGGGAGGGTCTAGGGTCAAAAGCATGTCCCAAAGGGTGTATCCTAATTCTCCAAGTGAGACAGTGACTGCCCCTTAATCCTGCCAGCCTCGAGGGCCACATGGCTTTGGCCTCACTTGGCCTTAGGATTTGTCTGCAGAGAAGAGAAAATCCAGGTAGCTGTGGTTCCAATGAGGTGGTGGTTTATTTTCTCTCAGGTAGAAGAATTTCAGAGGCTGGTGGTCTCGGCTGGAATGGGTGGCTCCACAAAGTCATCAGGCACCCAGCTTTCTTCTGTCACTCTTCTTCGTCATCCTTAGCACAGACCTTCTATCTTTAAAGAAGCCTCATGATTCAAGATAGCTGCTACAGTGCCAGCCATCGTGTCATGTTTTAGGCAGGCAGAGAGAGAGGATGAAGGGCGAAAGGACGCGTCTTCTAGCTGAGTTGGTCCTTTAAGATCTTTCCTGGAAGCTTCATCCAAGGGCTTCTACATACCTCTCTGTGACCATTCTGTCTGCAAGAGATAGAGAATCATAAAGTCTTTTATCTGAGGAATTTGCTGCCCAGATGGAATCAGGGTTATTTTGGAAAGAAAGAAGGGCAGAATCGCTTGTTGGGCAGGCAACCTGCTGTCTGTCCTACAGGTCTCAACTTGTCACACTCTCGGGCCATTTGGCTCTGCCTCTGGGAGGGAGGAGACTGGGTTGGGGAAGAGTCACAGTGGAATATTCAAGTTGACCTCACAGCAAAGGTGTTGGATGAAGACAGAATGTAGATATCTGAAAATAGATCCTGACATGCCCTCAGGATTCAGGTGTCTGACACAGAAAAATTATTTTTCGTTTGTTCCTGTGTCCAAGGCTGGAAGTGTGGTTACGGCTCTGTTCCCAAGTCTGGGTCCTCTAATTGAACACGAGGAAGGTTCCACTCTCAAAGGCTCTGGCCGGCGGCCGCCTAGAACACCTCCCCGTGCAGCCGGGGCATGGAGCCCGCAGGGAAAGCGAAGCCTGCAGCTCACTGTTGCCCAGCTCGGTTCTTGGTCTTGGCCAGCAAGGCTATGGGATGATCAGACTTTGTTTTTGATCCTCTTCCCACCCGCGGGGAGCTCAGCAGCCACACTGGGTTTTCCAGGCCATGTCCATTTGTCTGAGTTTGTGGGGGGAAGGCAGAAAGGGGCTGAAAAGAGACCCAGAAATGAAACTTCCCCTCTGGGGCCATTCACTCTGTAGTTTTAACAAAAAGGCTGGAACAGGCTGGGCACCGTGGCTCATGCCTGTAATCCCAGCACTTTGGGAAGCCAAGGCGGGAGGATCTCTTGAGCTCAGTAGTTCAAGACCAGCCTGAGCAACATAGCAAGACCCTGTCTCTACAAACATTTTTTTTTTTTTTTTTTTGAGACGGAGTCTTGCTCTGTGGCCCAGGCTGGAGTGAAATGGCGCAGTCTAGGCTCACTGCCACCTCCACTTCCCAGATTCAAGTGATTCTCCTGCCTCAGCCTCCTAAGTAACTGGGACTACAGGTGTGTGCCACCACACCCAGCTAATTTTTGTATTTTTAGTAGAGACAGGGTTTCACCATGTTGGCCAGGCTGGTCTCAAACCCCTGATCTCATGATCTGCTCTGCCAGCTTCAGCTTCCCAAAGTGCTGAGATTACAGGCGTGAGCCACTGTGCCCAGCTCCCCCCCCCCACCCCGCCGCCCCGTTTTTTTTAAAATTAGCTGGGTGTAGTGGTGCATGCCTGTGGTCCCAGCTGCTCAGGAGGCTGAAGCGGGAGGATCGTTTGAGCCCAGGAGTTCAAGGTTAACAGTGAGCTAAGATGGTACCACTGCACTCCAGCCTCGGCAACAGAGTGAGACCCTGTCTCCCTGTAAGAAAAAAAAAAAAAAAGGCTGGGGAACAAGTACCCACAGAGCACCCTCAGATAGATAGGTAGCCCAGCACCCTTACCCTCAGGTGGTCCTACCCCTTTTCCCCAAGGTCCCTGGCAGGCTTGCACCATAGCTGCCCACCGTAGTTACCTGCTCATTGACAGACCCCACAGGACTTCCTCCCTCCCTTTCCATCTCCCATTTCCCTGTGAGCGTTTCCTGGGACGCCTGCCAGGTGAACTGTCTGCATCAAGTCCTAGCATCAGGGTCGGCTTCGGAGAGCCCAGCCTAGGCCAAGTGAGTTCTTCTAGTCCACATCCTCAGTGTGGCCTCCTGACTAGCAGCAGCATCACTTAAAACTGGTTAGAAATGCCGATTCTCAGGCCCCGCCTGCTAAATCAGATTCTGGGATGCGGCCCCGCGATCTGTGGCTAAGACCTCCAAGTGACGGATGCAAATGCAGGTTGCAGTTGGAAAACGATTGGACTGAAATCTTAGGAGAAACCCCAGGGAGAGGCAGCCACCTGGGGGAGGAGACAGACTGAGGTCGGAGGCTCGCCCCCGCTAGGGGTCCCGGGGGTGCGTGATCATGAACCCCAGAGGGCTGGGCTTTGATTTGAGTGCCGATCCGTTAATGAGGACGGGAGGATAAGGTTGCCGACGCAGCGGAAGGTAGGGGGGAAGCGACTCGAGGACCTGACGATTATCCCCAGGCAGGGGCTTCCCAAGCAGGCACGGAAACCAACTTCACCAAACCGCGGAGTGGGGACTGGGCCCGGGCGGTGTTCAGCAGGGCAGGGGCAGGGCCAGCTGGCGCGCAGGCATCTGCAGGGTGGAGCAGAATAACCGTGGGGACCCGTTTCTCTGGAGGGGCACTGTCCACTTCCCATATGAGCCTCAGGATACCCCCGTGGGGCGGAGTCTCGGAGACGCCCCAGGTCACGCTCTCGCCGCCCCATCCCTGCTTGCGGGGGGCCGAGCAGGGAGGGAGGCCCAGCGCGCGCTGTGTGTCCGCAGTGTTCACGGGCAGCGGGGACGCTTGCGCCCGGGCCTTCGACGCGCAGTCTGGAGAGCTGCGGAGGGTGTTCCGGGGCCACACATTCATCATCAACTGCATCCAGGTAGGTCCCTCTGCCCTTCTCGGGGCCGCCGCCCGTGGGAGGGAAGGTGCCCCGCCCCGATCCATCCACGCGGGCAGCGGTGTCCCCCCCGCCTACCGCGTCACCGGTGACGCCCGCCCCTGCGCCCGCAGGTGCACGGCCAGGTGCTCTACACCGCCTCGCACGACGGCGCCCTGCGCCTCTGGGACGTGCGCGGGCTCCGAGGTGCCCCGCGGCCCCCTCCGCCCATGCGCAGCCTCTCGCGGCTCTTCAGCAACAAGGTGGGCTGCGCCGCCGCGCCCCTGCAGCCGGCCTGATCCCGCGGGGCCCCTGCAGACGCCAGCCCAGACACCCAGCGGCTCCCAGAGCGCCCCGCCCTGCTACCCGCGGTGGTGGCGCCCGATGGCCGGCGAGGGGCGAGGAGCGAGGAAGCCCGGGCGGGAGGAGAGCCCGTCGCAGGCGTCTGGTTTTTCTTTGGTGGCCAGGAGGCGCTGGGAGCGGGAGTGCTCGCCCTGGGGACCGCCCCCTTTTCCCTTTTAGGGTGGCTCCTGTCCTCCCTCCCCATCCCTGACCTGGCGAAAGGCCTAGTCCTGGGGACCCTCCCACCTCAGGGGCTGCAGGCGGACTGCCCCAGCTCCCCCAGCCCCACGAAACTGGGCCTTTCCTGCTGAGAGGAAGTGACTTTTTACAGAAGCCACTGAACCTGGTTATTTTGGCAAATCGTCCGTCTCGAGGGCCTTGGGGGGAACTGAAATATACAGCCTGAACGTTAAAAGTGCTCCTGTGTCCTCTTTTTGTTTTGCAAACTGAGTCTCAGCTTCTTTTTGGAGCTTGGGATTCCAGGAACCCAGGGCGGCGGGCCTCCTGCCCTCTGCCTCTCACAACCGGCCTGGGCAGCCTTGGGGGTGACTTGTGGGTGCGCTGCGGGGCTGCCCCCAGTGTCACTGGTGCAGGAAGTGGATGGGGAAGAGGCCGGGGAGCAAGGGAGGAGCTCTTTAGCCTGTGCAGGTGACAGCGGGGACCCTGCTTGGGAGCAGGGTCATTTTCTGGCATGTCATTTTCTGGCATGAATCTAGGAAGTCCGTTCAGGGCCTGGAGTGGAAGGAGGGGTGGGGGCGGGCAGCAGCCCCACCCCGGGCTCGTGCACAGGAGCCAGGGCAGCGCCTGGTGCTGGAAGGCGCAACACACATGCCAGAGCCACCGGGCACCCAAGGGGAGCCCTGTGCCCAGGGGCTCGAGGGGCCAGTGGGGCTCAGTCTGCCGAGGGGCCCTGCAGGAGACCCCTCAGCACCCCTCACAGCACCTGAGCGGGGTGCTCTTCAGTCCCTTGATGGTGCCACTTTCTGCATCCATGTGCCCCGGTTGGCCCGGGTGCCAGGAGAGAAGCTGCAGGTGACAGTGTCTGCCGTGGAGAGCTCATCATCTCGCTGCAGAGAGAAGCACCTGCTGCAGGAGCAGCCCCTTCAAGTGGAGCAGCCCCTTCAAGTGGAGCAGCCCTTTCAGGTAGAGCAGCATGCGCTTCATAGTCTTAATGCAGAAGATACTTCATCAGAGACGGCCGGGGCCGCCAGGGATCACCTGCTAGGTGATGGGCGGGTCCGCCCTCGGGCGCGGATGAACAGGTAGGGATTGCACTGTGGGCAGTAGGAAGGAAAGGACGCAGGCGCTGTAACTCCTCTAGGCCAAACCTCCAAACCCTGGGAACCAAAGTGCCCCCGACCCCCACCCCAGGAAAATGGGCCTGTTGGGAGGCAAGCAGATCGGTGCAGGAGAACCCGCAGAAACGGCACCATGCACTGTTCTCCGGGTGAGACTTAAGCACACACAGACCTCGGGGGTGGCCAGGTCTTGCTGCGTCCCGGAGCCATTGGGGCCTGTGGCTGCCACAAGGGGCATACCTACCAGAGAGGACCTTTCCATCGTGCTGAAGGGACGGTTCCGGTGGCGCAGGCCAGAGAACCGCCTTGAGTGCTGCCTGCGGGCAGTGCTGCCGGCCGGCCCTGAGCCTGCACAGACGTTCACACTGACTCCTGCTTGCCGAAGACACTGCTGCTTGGTGATGCTGCGCTCTGGCCTGAGCAGCCCCTCACTGACACGTCAGCTCCAGTCCCCACCTTATCTCCCCACAGCAGAGAATGGAGCATGCATCAAGCCATCCAGAGAAACCCAGTGGGGCATGGACCCAAAACACGGGCGCTGCACTCACTTTGCATTTTTATAGCAACACACATTGGGGTAATTTCTACTTCCATTGCACAGAGAGCTTTGCGAGATGTTGAGGACATAAAGATGGCCAGATGTCCATTTTCGCTCTGGTTTCTGACAGCCTGAGAGACACGGTGAGTGAGAGAGTCTGATCCCCTGAACCCAGGCCTGGTTCCCTTCCAGCCACACCACTGTCGCCTTGCTATGAATGAAGAAACAAGGTGTCTGCTTTTGATAAATTGACTGAGGAGGAGTTGGCTAAGGGAGGAAGGACAGGAGCTACCCATAGGACATATGGGCAGGAACACAAGGACAGGGTAAGGCCGTGATCAGCATCAAGGACACCTGACCAGTTGTGCACACCATTGTGCTGGCATGGGCTGCCCTCACCTGCCTGCTACACGCCCATGCCCACTCCTGCTCCTCTAATGGCATCCAACCTCCCCGCTGTGATCAGCAATCATACCATCCGCCCCCATTCTTCTCTCCCCACAACCCGCACCTTCTGGCAGCCCATGAACATGTCACACTCAGACTGTCCTGCCCCAAATACTATCTTGTTTGTCCCACATCTGGAATGTGCTTTTTCCTCTGACTCCCCAAGGAGAACCCTCCCAGGCCCCCTCCTCTGCAACGGCCTCTCCTCCAACCTCAGCACCGTCCTGCCCCCTCCTCTACCGCCTGTCCGGTGGAGCAGGCCCGGCCCAAGTCTCCATGCCTGGAGGGCAGCCCATTCTGGACATAGCGCATGCCCAGAACTGCCTCCACAGCCGGCTTCCTCTGCGGCTCTCTCTTCACAAGACACGGAAGAGTTTTGGGGCCTGCTGGTGTGGCATTGCTTCTATGATGGCTAAAAACAGCTGGGAAGCTAGAAGACACGCCTGAACCAAGCGCAGGACAGCGATTTGTTAGCCAAAAGCTTAAATTCAGGCCCCAAATCCAAGTGTGGCATTGTGTCAAATGAGGCTGAGACTCCGCGTCACCTCAGCTCACCAGGCACTTCTGAGGCAAACCCTGACAGGTACATTTCAGTCCCCTGCCCAGGATGCACCCCAGCCCCGCTTGGCGTGCGGCATCTTTCACAGCAGATGCCCTCTGCTTCTGAGATCATCCTTCCATCATCTCCTCACAAAACTCAGTGGAAACAGACATCCTGCAATCAAAATGAAGAGCTAGTCACCCAGACACTTTCAACACCTACAGCTGGGGAGGCTGAGTAAATTAATGCAAAATTAGGGTGACAATTTTTGAATATATTTCCCACCTTTTATTTCCATCGGTATCATCCGTTTAAAAAGAATGACAAGAAGATTCCCATCAGTCCAAACTGGACCACCCACACTTTGAAAAAGTTGGAGCATTTCAGCCGGCTCCGCATGATCCATCCTGTCTTCAGTCAGTGCCTTCTGGAAGGGAGGGAAAGTCTTGGATGCACCTGGCACTCAATCCACTCGGCACCTGGCTGCTGCTGTGGTCCTGGGGCTGGAAGGAACTCCCACTGGGCACACATCTACAGAGGAGTGCGTGGCGCAGTGAGGACGGTTACTGCTGGAGCCGACACACAGCGAACTACATACTTTTAGAAAGAGCCTCTGTCACATGGCTAGAACAACAACAACAACAAAGAAAACCCACAAAAAACCTGGAGAAAATATATCTAAATCTCTGATAGGTCTCTTAGCTAGCAGTGAGTTCAGTATGACAGCACAGAGTCTAAAAATATTAATTAAAAATAAATTGCTTTGGTTAGCATTTAAACCTTTCCCATTCAATAGAAGATTTCTGTAATGAGGAATGCTGAATATATATAAAGCCTGACACTCAATCTTGAATTTCGGGGGCGTATTTTACTGAACTAAGAGCATAAAACACTGGCGTCCCAGGCTGAAGCCATTTGCTGCGACCTGGTGTGGCCCCCAAGGCCAGCGCCTCATCGTTATGCCCCACAGCACTTGGAAGGAAGACTTAAAGGACGATTTGAGGGGCGGGGAAAGGGTGGCACAGGAACCCATGTGGCACCCTGGCAGAGATGGCAGCGTGGGAAGCAGGAAGGTCAGGGCAGTGGGTGCAGGAGGCAGGCAAGCTGGGCAGATGGAGCCACAGCTGGAGAGGAAGCGGTCGGGACACCCTTCCCAGGACCCTGCCCTGGACACCTTCCCCAGGACCCCTGTTCTACAGGACCCCTGTTCCTTCCTGTTTCGGGGTAAAACACCAAGCTGGGGAAGGGGTTAGGGACGCAGACCTGGGAGGCAGATGGAACGGCCTGCGCCAGGCCAGAGGAAGCTTCTTCCCCGAGACCACGCATGAAGGCCCTGGGACCCCTCCTGGACTTGTCCCCTGCCCACCCCCTCCTACACCCAAAGAGGACTTGTAATTCAGATAAAAAGTAAGAACAGAAAGAGCTGCATTAGCCTTTTCATAATGATAGCATTTATAAGCAGAAAATTAGCGCTATTTCTGTTCATTATTTAGTTTTTCTTTGTTGCTGACTTCCTATTTTCTACATAGGATAGGTACTCTGCAATAATAATTTCTTCATCTTCCAGAGTTGAGTCAAGATAGTCTTCCTCATGCTCTGGAATGTCTTCCAGTATCTCATTGACGGCCTCTGTCTCCATGTCTTCGTCTGTTGAGGCACTAGAGGTTCCTACAATAAAATACCGCAGGAGTAAGTGAATTATGTGAGGATTGTCCTGGGGACACTGCACGACCACAGTCAACCTCAGACTGTGCCTCTTGCTGGCCACACTGTCCAGGTGGCCGGCCCGGTGACGTCAGGGGACGCCCCCTCAGTCTCCACATCTGCCGTGGCTTAGGGCCACATCTGTTGGCTTCTGAAGACACTTTGCTCTCAATGCGGCCCTCAAAGACCTCAGACCTACCTGCGGAGTCAGAAGGGGACGTGGCTGGCGGGGACAAAGAGTCTTCTGGCGACAGCGGCAGCTCGGGAGGCAGGCTTCCTCCGTTGTGAGCAAGGGTCTGGGCGGCCAGCTGGACGTTGCCTCTGAACACTCTCAGCGCAGCTTCGGCCACGAGTGCATCAAAACCCATGTACACCAACTAGGGGAGAGCGCAGGGGTCACAGCATCAGCCCCTGGCGCCTCTTCTGCCACCCCCGTCAGCCATACGAGTGGACAGCCGACTCTCATGTTTAAGAGCTCCCGGCGTGTGCACCATGGCCCTTTGTGCACAAGTCATGCTTCTGTGCAATGTGAGCGTAGAGCAACCTGGAAGGGGGCTTGGAAGACTCAAGTCGGGTGCGTCAGGGAGCAGCCATCTCAGGACAGGCAGTGACCTCGGGCTGAGAGCAGGGCGCCACACCAGCCTCACCACGAGCACCGCGAGGTCAGTGGCCACAGCATACAGGCGTGCTAACGCGTGTAGGGGCACAAATGTGGACAGAGCCGTCACTTGGGATACAAAGCTGGATGGGTTTCCCAGGTCACAGTGCCATCCTTTTAGGTCACAGGCAGAGAAATGAGGCTGATGCAAACAGTGGTGCATAGACAAAGGCAGCAAACCTAAAGAGAACTTCCTGACACTTCCCCAGTTTTCCTGCTTTCCAAGGAGGCCTCCCCTGCCCTCTGTTACTGCGTGGGTGGCCTCTGAGGTGGGCAGGTTACACCTGGAGCCTGGGAGCCAAGGTTTCAGCACGGACTCCCCCAGTCCTGCTGCCTGATTCACCCGGGTTACCCCAAGCAACCCCACCCGAGGCTGTCCAAGCTGAGGGCACAAAGGCCTGTCACTCACTCGGTCAATGTTTTCCTGGGAAGGACTTTCTTGACGGTTGTCGGTTTCAGGATTGGAATCATTTAACCACCACATCTGAGGATTGCTGAGCAGAATCTAAAACACACAGGAACACCCTTTACCCATCACTAAGAACTCTTCACACATTCAGACAGGCGCTGCACCCTGCCATGTGCTAGGCAGACCCCGCCGTCCTCTGCTGCTATGAGGCAGAGAAAGGGGCTCCCACTCAGGCTGGTGTTCACAGAAGGCTTCCAGCCAGAGACCAGGACAGCTGGGGTTTGAAGGAGGAGCAAGACTAGTCAGGGAAAAGATCCCTTCTGTTAGAGCAGGAAGGGATGGAGAGCAGGTGGAAGCAGCATCCAAGAAAACAGGTTTTGTCAGAGCTACAGACAGAAAGGTCTCAAGCAGCTCAGGGCTGCCTGATTGATCTTTGAAAGCGTCATGCCCTCTAGACTTAAAATGTCAGGCAGGTAGTAGGGTTATTTTGACCCTTGATTTCTTCATCACACAATACTTAATCTTCAAAGACCCTGTGGAGACTTTCCTTTCCAACACTCAGTACTTCCATTTTGACTGGAAGTATTTTTGTGCCACTCGTATAATTCACATCTATTTTGAGACCCATCAGTCCCTTCGAATATTCAGAATTTCCCACCTCTTAATATTTCTCCAACACACAAAAAAACGAACTAGATGATATTCAAATAAAAATTTAAAATTTAACGTATATGTTAAATATACATGTACATAGTTACAAAAGTACTGACTTGTGGAGCCTTCCGGGGAACAGGGCAGGGATAAGAGGCAAAGGCAGGGTGGACTCCCCGTGCCTGCTGCACCCACACCCGCCTCAGCAGGGCAAACGAGGACACCTGCCCTGCACCCCACCCCCTCCAACCCCATCTCTGTCCCCCCAGCCCCGCCCCCAGCACGTGCACAACCTAAGCCAGCTCCTACCACTCTGCTTCCTGCCCGCCGCGCTGCCCCAGCATCTGTCTGGACTGCTGCCTCCACACAGCCAGCCCCCTGCCTCCTGTGCACCCCCTCGGGACCCCTCACCACGTGTGCTCTGAGTTTGTCTCTCACTGACCTGCGGGGCCGAGAGGGCAGAGGGTGGTTCCATGCCAAGCTGCTGAGACGCAGCGCAGCACCTGCCCTACTGAGGATTCGATATGCTTCTCCAACACAGGGAAGGAAGTGGCCCAGGTAAAGTCACTGCTGTCTGGATCCCAACCTGCTGTCACTCCTGAGGGGTTCTTTGAAAAGCTCTCCCTTTGCCAACATGTACGATGGACTAAATAAATAAAACTAGATACTTACATTTAAAATTTTAATGCCAAACAATTATACTACAAGTTGAATTCCCATTCTCTTTTTTCTGCCGTGGAAACTGCCTGTTTCACTAAACTCTGCTGCACACAGAAACCCTACACAAAGTCCTGGCCTGTGGACTGTGCTGGTGTGGACAGGCACCACGTTTTGGAGCCAGGCCTGGGCCAAGCACTGAGCATGGGGCCTCACGTGGCCTCACGCAGCCTGTGTCTGGGCTGGAGCCCAGGAGAAACCTGCCCTTCAGATCCGGATGACGGGGCAGCCCATAGGAGTGAGCCCGGGAGGATGCTGGAGAGCCATGGAGGGAGCTCTGGGCAGGACCCACTGCTCAGGGACAAGGCCAGAGGCCCCGAGGGAGCTGCTACCTTCAGGGCCTCATCCAAGTTCCCGCTGGCTGCGTGGAGTACCTGCTGGGCCGCGTGCGTGGAGTAGCCCATCCCTTTCAGAAACCTGATGTTCTCGAGGCGGCGTCTTTTCTTCTCTTTTTCCTCCTTCCTTATTTGGGCCAGTTCCTTTAGGAAAACAGCAAAGTCCCATCCCAAGTTAGGGACTGAGATTTCACAGCCTCTCAGTCTGCGCTCTGCAGGATTCTCCGCATTTCCAGGCAAAGCCAAAAAACCAAAGCAAAGCACAGGGGGCCCTCTTTCTACCTCTCCTCACCCAGCCAAATGGCAGAGGTGCCACAGAGGCAGAGGGGTGGTGGAAGTGCTGCTTCTGAGGCAGGCAGTGGAAGTGAGATGCCCGTGGGGCAGGAAGGAGGTGCCTCGCCAGCCCCGCCATCCACCATCCGGCATCAGGATGGGCTGCTCGCCAACCCAGCACTCCCACTGCAGAGGTCGCGGGTGTGAGGTGCATGGATTCTCTTCTAGGAACCAGGTAGGAACCGGGTAGGAGAGCTTCTGCACGCGGTGGGAAGGCCTTCCAGCCTTCGATGAATCGCCCAGGGATTCAAGTTAAAATGTGATGTGGAATCAGGGGCTCCTGGGCAATGCCAAAGCTGGTGACCCGCCCCCCACAGCCTGGGGAGCAAGGACTCCAGGGCCTTCTGAGGCCTGTCATTCCATTCGGAACCCACAGAGTGCCCAGAGACAAAGGTCATCTAACCTCTTGGTTCTCAACCCTGTTTCTCAGAGTTGCCTGCTATTGCTGCAGGAGCGCAGGACGGCTGCAGAGGGTTCTAGTCTCTTCACCTCTCCCACCCAGGGCCAATCAGGAGAGTTCCCAATTTATTTTGTAAACTAGTATCCCCATAAAAATGTCATTTAAAAAGGGGATTTTGCTGCTTAAAAACAACAACAACAAAGCAAGTTTGAAAACCAGGAATTTAATCCAACCTCATTATTTTCCCAACAAGGAGACAGAAAGCTTTCAACAAAGTTAAGTGACTTGCTACATTCTCCCAGGGAGACCAGCCCCACCATCAGCAGCAGCGAGGACGGGGGAGAAAACAGACTCCTTCCTTCCAGAGACCTGATCCTGCCTCCTGCCCAGCCCAGGCAACAGGCGCCTCCCTGCATTTTCCCCACAGCAGGAAAGCGGCCTCATCTCTTAGGAAAACAAAAGCATCATCATTGTGGAACCAGACTCCACAGGCCCCACAGTAGGAGCAGGCAGAACAGAGTGGCTGCTGGAAACATCTCCAGGGATGAAGACATCTGTAGACTCATGGCCTGTCTCTATCACAGGAGAACCTCCTGGTGTGGCCCTGGAGTGCCCACAGCGCCAGCTCCCTTTGCTTCCCCTTCAGCTGCACCAGGCCTGTCTCATGCCCCCATTACGTGCTCTACCTCTCAGTGGCCAGTCTCCCCCAGCTCCAGCCCCGCTGCACAGGGCAGCAGGCTCCGTCATTCCAGTCACCTACCTGAAAGCCCGCAGCAGCTCCTGACCACCTCCCCACACTGAGGCACCAGCTCCTTATTCTGCTACTCAGGGCCCCCACTCCCTGGCCCCAACAATGCTTCGAAACTGACCTTATCCTGCCACACCACCCCAACCACACATGCCAGCAGGAGTCTTTCATACCACTCACATTTGCACTTTTATTTACACATACTCCATGTAAAATGCCTTTACTGGCCCCATCCTCTGCTTTCAATACAGTTTCTTCCATTTATATTCCAAAAGGCTAAGAAGCGCACCTAACATCCAAGCACAGAGAAGGACGCTGCCAGCCAGCGGACCTGGGCATTACCTAACACAGACCTCACACCAACTGGGAGCTTCGAAGAATACTTCCTTTCATTACAAATGTCTTAGTCTGTTTCCTTTTAATCATGTAAACACATGTGAGAACATTATTTTCTGAAATTTCTCTTTATACTAAGATGAGTTAGAAAGATAAAGTAGATCAAATCAATGACAGTGAGTACTGCACTGAAGTGGCTACAGTTAAGTAGAATCAGATCTCAAGAGAGAGGCACTGTATGGTCACAACAAGCTGGGATGGCCTCTTAGGAAGGCTACGTCTCACGGCCTGGCCATGCCGAAGCATGATCTGTGAGCTCCGTTTCTACAGCTGTTGCTTTTCTCAGATGAGAAACTGGTCTGTACTCAGGGCCATATTGCACAAAAAATATAAACTTTTAATAATTATGTATTAAAGGCTGGGTGCAGTGGCTCACACCTGTAATCCCAGCACCTTGGGAGGCCAAGGTGGGAGGACTGCTTGAACCCAGGAGTTTTGAGACTGGCCTGGGCAACATGGTGAGACCCCATTTCTACAAAAAAATAAAAATCAGCCGAGAGCTCTTGGCAGGAGGATCATTGGAGCCCGGGAGATCAAGGTTGCAGTGAGCCATAATCACGCCACTGCCCTCCAGCCTGGACAAGAGAGCAAGGCTCTGTCTCAAACAAAAACATGAACGAATTGTTTTACATTCAGCTCAGTCAGATGCTCATACCTAGAACGTTGGAACTCCGAGGGCAGCAGATTTCTCTTGCTCATCTAAAGCTCCGATAGGAGCTCACTTTCTGTGGGACATTGTTTTTGTCTTTCCAGCACCCATTCTACCCCTCCCTGAGGTGTGGGAGGCTGCTCCAGCTCCCCAGGTGGCCCCTGAATGGGCTAAGGTGGCAACCCTCTATCTCTTGCCACAGGCCTGAGCCAGTCTTGGCGTTCCTCCAGCCTCAGTGACAGGTTCAAGGCTGCCCAATCACAAGAAGCTCAGGATTTTCCCTGAGGATTCTGGGACACAGATTATGGCCCTTGTTGTGACTGGATGACACTGATGACATGGGGTGGGGGGTGGGGGTAAAAGACAGACCTCAGGTCCTCAGTGACATCAGTAAGCCACTGAATGAATCACCTAACCCTGAGACCTATCCTACTTCTGGACTTTTTACAAGTAAACGGCCAATAAATCCCACCACATCCCTTGTTTTGATGTTTAGGCCATTTTGGGTTTTTTGTTGTTGTTGTTGCTTTCAGCCAAAGGCATCGTAACTAACAACATCTGTTGGGTGGAAGAGGGAGAAGGATCAACTGCACTATATACACTGGTTTTTTTATTTGCATTTTCTCCAAGGGCTTTTAACTTCAGAAATGTACAAGTGATATGACTCCACTATACTTTAAAAGACCACCTCTGAGCAACAGCTCTTCCCATGTGTAAGATGAGAAGTACCTGTCCTGTGGCCTCTCGGCTGGTCACAGGCAGAAGTGAATGACATGAGTGTGACAATGTTTTATGAACTATAGTCTTATACAGTGATGAGAACTGTTTTCCAAATGATCTCATTTTAAAACACTAGCTTTCCAGATGCTAATAAAATCTTACTTCATTCTCAGTAAACTATCGCAAGAACAAAAAACCAAACACCGCATATTCTCACTCACAGGTGGGAATTGAACAATGAGAACACGTGGACACAGGAAGGGGGACATCACACTCTGGGGACTGTTGTGGGGTGGGGGGAGGGGGGAGGGATAGCTTTAGGAGATATACCTAATGCTAAATGACGAGTTAATGGGTGCAGCGCACCAGCATGGCACATGTATACATATGTAACTAACCTGCACATTGTGCACATGTACCCTAAAACTTAAAAGTATAATAATAATAAAATAAAATTAAAGGAAAAAATAAATAAAAATAAAAATAATAAATTCTTACTGGTAGTGGAGTAATAGTAAAGCAATAAATCAGTATCAGCAATGTTCATTTTTCTGTTAGTACTGAATTAGACCATGTAAAACTCAAACACACAGAACTCAACTTTTCAGCTGGTCGCAGTGGCTCACACCTGTGATCCCAGCACTTTGGGAGGCCAAGGCGGGAGGATCACTTGAGGTCAGGAGTTCGAGACCAGCCTGGCCAAATTGGTAAAACCCCATCTCTACTAAAAATACAAAAAGTAAAGCTGGGCGTGGTGGTGGGCACCTGTAATTCCAGCTACTTAGAAGGCTAAGGCAGAAGAATCACTTGAACCTGGGAGGCAGAGGTTGCAGTGATCACGCCACTGCACTCCAGCCTGGGTGACAGAGTGAGACTCTGGAATAAAAAAAAAAAAAAGAACTCAGCTTTTCAAAGTCTCTGCCTTTACCTACTCATTGACTTCTATAGCAAGACCCAAAGGACCACGATTGGACTAGGCAAGAGAGAAAGGTAATGACCACAGCTGGTGTTGTAAAAGGAGAAACCCTGTGACTGCTCACCACGGAATGAACCCACGAATCCACTCCCTCTCTGGCATCAGGTAGGCAAACAACCACGGGGCTTTCCTGCTCCCATCCAAATACCCCTGAGGCTGCTTTTTTCCTTCAGGATTATCCTAGTGTTTAGCAAAAAGGGAAACGAGGTAACATACATGTGAAGATTCTAGAGACTTCTATGGCTGGAGTTTACAGCTAGAAAGGACCTGTGAGATAATCTAGTACCAACTTCTTGTTTTGGCAAGAAGAAAAATGGCTCTCCTGCTAATATTCCACCATGACCGCCCTCTAGACCTCAGTTCTTTCACTGCAGAACATATTGGATAGAATAAGGATGCTTCCAACTCCAAAATTCTAAGGTTTTCTTTAATGTACTTAATTGTTTCAAATGATTATAGTTTTTTAACCTGTGCTTTCATAATATAATACAACTTGTTTCTATGATTTGACTTATGTTTCTAGGCAAGGATGCAATCCCCAACTTTAATAATGACCTCATGAAAAAACAATTTTGTTTTTAAAATGACTTCCAGAAATACACTATGGTGTTAAAGAAAGAGAGAGAGGGGACCGTTTGCCACCACAGCAGGAAACAAAACTAAGGAGACTGCAGCATGTGAAAAATGATCCAATTGAAAAAGACAAGTTTCGGCCAGGCGCGGTGGCTCACACCTGTAATCCCAGGACTTTGGGAAACTGAGGTGGGCGCATCACTTGAGGTCAGGAGTTTGAGAACAGCCTGGCCAACATGGTGAAACCCCATCTTTACTAAAAATACAAAAATTAGCCAGGTGTGGTGGCACACACCTGTAATCCCAGCTACTCAGGAGGCTGAGGCACGAGAATTGCTTGAACCCGGGAGGCGGAGCTTGCAGTGAGCCAAGATCGTGCCACTGCACTCCAGCCTGGATGACAAAGTGAGACTCTGTCTCAAGAAAAAAAAAAGGACAAGTTTCTCCTTCCTTCCCAATCTGGAGTAATAAAGAGTTCCTGGTTATTAACACTCCTGTGGGATTATCTTTTTTTGTTCTTTCATACCCAAGAGAGCTAGGGCATGTGAAAGTGGGTACCTCTCTGCGGTTGGTAATATGAGTGGCCGCATGATCCACGTTCCCATCACACGCCCTCAGGCCAAGCCGGGCTTCCTGGGCAGTAAACCCCAACTGCAACAAATTGTCCACTTTTGATGGATCAATATATAGCTCTTTAAAGAGCTGACGTGCCTAGAGACAGGGAAATGTAAGAATCATGTAACCACGGCAATACTTAAAGCTTAATACAAAGTGAAAGCCTAAAAGAAATTAGATTGTATCCAATGTGAATTAAAAGGCATCAGATTTTGGATAAAATCTCTAAACTAGGCCTGTTATTAACAAGTACAAATGGAAACAGACCAACACTACCTCTACTCACATAACTTAGCCACAGCACAACACGAGGTAAGAGGCTGGGTGTTGCAGAAGTGACTGGTAACCACTTTGTTTTTGCAACAAAAGCCCCCGAATTTCAGCTGTGCACGTGGCATTTCTCACCCTCCCTTGCAGCTGGGTGTAGCCAGGTAGTGAAGTCGAAGTCAATGGCATGCAGCCACAGCGCTGGGTGCAGCTGCGGGGTCATCTCTCCAGTGGCCTGCTCTGGACTCTCTCTTGCCCCCTCTGCTGGCTGGAAGAGGCACTGACAGGAGCAACCTAGGACGCCTCGCTGAGGCTGGCGGGCTGCTCACTGCTCCGGCCTGGCTCACCTCTAGACGGCAAGATGAGTGAGCCATAAACTTCTATCCAATTAAAGTCACTGTCTTTTTGAAGTCTCATTACAGCATCTGGCTGTACTCTAACATATACAAATATGTTTCTGGTTCAACATCTCCTGTGCACGGAGAAAGCACAGGCATGTTTCTCACAAGTCACAAACTACTAAGTTAAAATCCTTAACTTCTGGGAATGTTTTTTAAAAGGAGGTGAAAATTGGTTACAACTTTACTTTTCTTACCTTGTTAAGATACTCATAAGCCTCTACATCATTTCCACTGTGATAGTTTCGGATCCCTTGAAGTAAGTAGAGTCTTAGAAACAGTACCTTCTCTTTCCCACAATTTCCCTAAAATTATTGAAGAAAAAAAGGATAAAATTGCCTTATTTCTAATTACAGGTCTATAATACTCATCTCTGTCATTCCCTTGGTCTCCAGAGGGGCAACATGATAGGTATTAAAATGTCCATGGCTTCACTATGACTGACGGCAAAAGTGAAGCCCCCTCTTCCCCATCCCCTGTGGTATGATAACATTCCTCATGCCACACAGGAGAGTCAGTGTCAGGGCACCAGCCTCCAGACATGCAGCACAGTGGCCCTTCTGGTCAGCAGAGAAGTATGCAGAAATCCAAACCAGGTATCAGAGAGTCTGCATCAGCAGGATTTTGATGACTTGGGGAAATCAGAAAAATCCTTACTCGAGCCACAGCTCTTGAGCTGTGACTCATTCACGTAAACCATTACTGCTGAAATGTCTATTTTCTGCATTTACATCTTGCAAATTAGACTCTACCGATATAAAGAAGTCAGCAGCTCTCTCCTGGTCAGGGTGATCACTGATGGGGTTCTATGACTAGCAAACCATGTTCCTTTGGGCTAAATGCTCACACGCTAAGTAAGAGAGACAGCCAGATTTGTAAAACATTGAACACTTTATAAATATATAGTTTAAAAAGACTATACTGCATACTACTATCAAAATGAAATTACCTTCTGGCAGTAGTTCAAATACTTTAACAGGAATAAACACAAATGCTAGAAATGGACTCAACGAGACATAAGATGAATTCCAGGAACATACTTTTATGTGGACCAGTCTCTGATGATTTTCTCCGTAACAATTTTTAAAGCATTTCTGGGCCAAGTTTAATTTTTTTTCTGCATCATCAAGGCATTCCAGCTGTTCCAGGCGGAAGTAACACCACACTATATCCAGCTGGAGGACGGCGTAGTTATCCACTGTGTCCAGCAGCTCTCTGCAACACTCACTGGAAAGAGAAGGACAGTGACATCACTGCCAAGCAGCATTTGAAACATTTTTAGCATTTGAAACCTTTTTGTGAATGACTGGAATTCTTTCCCCGTTCTTGGTATATATTCAAAGGCTGACTGCTCTAAAAGAGAGATCCTAATGTTTAGGAAGGGAGCTGTGTTTATAATCTCATCCTTCTAATGGGGGAAAGAAAGAGAAATCAGAAATCAGGGCTTAGGAATCAAAGCTTACCACCACTTGCCCCAGGACACACATGCAGCCCCTTGATAGGAAGCAGAACCCAGGGCCACTGTTTCAGAGGCCCTCAGCAAATACGGGGAAGACCATGCTTTAAAGCTGTGACTTCCAATCCTGACTGCAAATCAGCATCACCTGGGCCAGAGCAACGTTCTTTCTTTCTTTCTTTCTTTCTTTAAGAATCATTGATCCCACCCAGACCAAACATAACAGAAATTTCTGGGGGTTGGGCCTGGTGGTTATACTGCCAGAGTCTCCCCAGCTGATTCTAGTGTACAGCCAGGGCTGAACACCACTTCTTTAAAGACACCAAAAAAATCCCTACGTACTATGAATGCCTCAGCTGATGACGGCTCTGACAAGGCATTCATGTTCAATCATATTCAAGCTGGGGGAAAAACAATCCAGAAAGCACCAGGCTCTAACGGCCCAGCTGATTTCTGAGGGCCTGTGTGCAGGCAAAATTTGACTCCGTATTCGTGGCAGCAGGCTGAACCCAGGCGCAGCAAAGGGAAGAAAGACAGCAACAGAAGTCAGTGTGCTCCAGGAGGAGCACTGACAAAGACAGCCATCAAGGTGACTAATTTTAAGTTATGATTACATTAAAAATTCCTAATGCCAATCTAGGTCTCAAGTCTTCAATAAGAACATTTGGAACCACACATTGTATATGAACAAGGTTTTCTCTCTTTATGTTCATTGGTGTTCTACTAAAAATAAGAATGCTCTTGTATAAAACTACAAAATCCACATGGCCTCAAGCTTCCTGTCCTGCCTATCAAAATATGCATGGAATAAAAAAAAAAGGACTTTAATTTTGTCATTTACTCTTTAAAACAGTAGTCTCCTAAAGAGGGCCCATGTACACAGTCCAGTTGTGGGTGCGGCAAGAAAAATGTATCACAGCAGTATTTTTATATTTATTTTCATCTCTCTCAACATTTCTAATTTCGTGAATGTTTGAGAACACATACACCATGTTTTACACACGTGTGCACGCAGACACACAGATGTGGAGCTGGGTGAGGGGTGCTTTCTCCAAATCTACGGCTCAGCCTGAGAACCTGCCTTTGAGAGAAACAGCAGCGCTTTGTGGATTGTGGTCTGATCTCACAGTCGTGTTGAGATTTCCTGCCTCTAGGCACATTCTGGTCCCAGTGACAGAAGACTCTCCTGCCACTCGCAGGAAAGCAATGGGCATGTGGCCGAACTTCTCCATCTCCTGCATGTTGCTTTAACAGGCTCGTTCATGTTTTACTAAGCATCAAGAGCGTGGGCAGAAATGGCCTCATGTCAGTTAAAAATAAAATCAATATGCACTTATCTCAAGTTTGACCCAGGAGTGAGTATTTATTTGTGCAGCCAAAAAAAAAAAAAAGAGAGAGAAGAAAACCAACAAAATGAACAAACACACAAAAAACCCAAAGCAGAGGTCTCATATTAGAGGGGTACATGTCATCCTTTTAGTTTTGAGAAATCAACACTTATTATTATATATAAAACTATATTTAAACCTGATCATTTGCTTGGGGCAAAGTGGTTTCTTAAAGCCTGGTATAAATTGCATTTAGAAGGCTGGGTGTGGTGGCTCACACCTGTAATCTCAGCACTTTGGGAGGCCGAGGCAGGAAAATCACTTGAACCCAAGAGTTTGAGACCAGCCTGAACAACATAGAGACTCTGTCTCTAAAGAAAAAAAAAAAATTATAAAAATAAAAAATTTCATTTAGAGTGTACTTTTATTAACATTGCTTTGGTTTACAATTTTAGTAGCATTAATATTCAACACTGTTACATTTTCATGCTGACGATATTAAAATAAACGTAAAATATTTATTTAAATAAAATCTACTGAGCCTAGCTTTCAAAAAATTAAATCCTGGCCAGGCACAGTGGCTCACGCTTGTAATCCCAGCACTTTGGGAGGCCGAGGCGGGCAGATCACCTGAGGTCAGAGGGTCAAGACCAGCCTGGCCAACATGGTGAAACCCCATTTCTACAAAAATTAGCGGGGCATGATGGCGGGTGCCTGTAATCCCAGCTACTCGGGAGGCTGAGGTGGGAGAATTGCTTGAACCCAGGAGGCGGAGGTTGCAGTGAGCCGAGATCGTGCCATTGCACTCCAGCGTGGGCGACAGAGCGAGACTCCGTCTCAAAAACAACAACAACAAAAATTAAATCCCATTTGAGCTTAAGTCGGTTATTTAACAGAAATTTATTATGTTTGTCTTACAGTTTTTTTGTTTTTTTTTTTGTTTTTTTTTGTTTTTGTTTTTGAGACGGAGTCTCGCTCTCTCCTCCAGGCTGGAGTGCAGTGGTGCAATCTCGGCTCACTGCAAGCTTCGCCTCCCGGGTTCCTGCCATTCTCCTGCCTCAGCCTCTCAAGTAGCTGGGACTACAGGCGCCTGCCACCATGCCCGGCTAATTTTTTGTATTTTTAGTAGAGACGGGGTTTCGCCCTGTTAGCCAGGATGGTCTGATCTCCTGACCTCGTGATCTGCCTGCCTCGGCCTCCCATAGTGTTGGGATTACAGGCGTGAGCCACCGCGCCCGGCCAGGCTTACCTTTCTTGAAATTAATATTTATTTAACATAAAAATTTTAGGCCAGGCGCGGTGGCTCACACCTGTAATCCCAGCACTTTGGGAGGCTGAGGCGGACGGATCACCTGACGTCAGGAGTTCAAGACCATCCTGGCCAACATAGTGAAACCCCGTCTCTACTAAAAATACAAAAACTAGTCGGGAGTGGTAGTGGGCACCTGTAATCCCAGCTACTTGAGAGGCTGAGGCAGGAGAATCGCTTGAACCCAGGAGGCAGAGGTTACAGTGGGCGGAGATTGCAGTAAACTAAGATTGCGTCACTGCACTACAGCCTGGGCGACAGAGTGAGACTCCGTCTGAAAAAATAAAATAAAAAAATAAGCCAAACTTACCTAACTTTTTTCAAGAAAGGTTAGCTAAAAAGTCATTTTCAATTTTATTACTGGTTTTAGGGAATTGGATTATAGTGTGCTGTAGTGTAGTTTTTTTCTGATATTTCTTGTACTTGGGGTCATTAAAGTCATTGCATCTGGGGGTTTATAGTTTTCATCAAACTGGGAAAAATTAATGGCCATTTTTTTCTTCAAGTATTGTTTCTGTCCCACATGTCTGCCTTTCCAGGGACTCCAATTACATGCATTTTAGGCCGCCTGAAATTGTGCCACAGCTTGCAGATGCTCTGTTCATTTTTTTTTTTTTTTAGCCTTTTCTCTGTTTTTTCAGATAGTTTCTATTGCCTTATGTAACATTTAACTAATCTTCTCTTCTATAGTGTCTATTCTGCAGTTCATCCCACCTAATGTACTTTTCATCTTGGATGTTGTACTTTTCATCTCTTACATTCTAATGTGGGTCTTTTGAATGTCTCCCATGTCTTTATCTGACATGTTCAGTTGTTCCTCTGCCTTCTTCAGCAGATGGATTACAGTCACTGTTTTAATGTCCTTGTCTACTAATTCTATCTTCTGTGTCACTTCTGGATCTGTTGCTACTGACTGATTTTTTTGCTTGTTATAGGTTACATTTGCTTGTTTCTTTGCATGCCTGCTAATTTTTCAGTGGATGCTGGATATTTTTGAATTGCTAAATTATTGAGTTTTGTTAGGGATGCACTTATTTGAAAACGGTAAGTTAAGGGTACTGTTCAGGAGTAGCTTTTAAGCTTTGTTAAGTGAAACCAAATTATGCCCTAGTGCTGAGGCAACACCCTTCTGAAGACTCTATTTGACGCCCTGTGACTACCAAATCCTCCACTCTGGCTGGTGGGAACATAAACTATTCCTGGCCTTCTATGAACTCGGAGGATTATTCCCTGCTTCTTTCATGTGGTACCTTGCCCAGCCCTGGGCGGTTTCCTCACACACATGTGCTGATCATTACTGAGCAGAAGACTCAAAAGGGCTCCTCTGAAGCTCTCTGACACCCTCTCTCTGGCAGCTTGCTCCTCTCACCTCCTTGGCCTCCTGCAAGCCCAGCTCCATCTCTTTAACTCCAGGGAGCACAAGGCTCTGCCTGGGTTTGCCCTCCCTGCCCCGTAACCTGAAACTTCTCCAGACACTGAGCTCCCCTCATGTTTCCCTACCTCAGGGTCACCGTTCTGCACTGCCAGGAAGTCACTGTTTCATACAATTTGGGGAAAGAAACTATTCTTGGTCATACTACATACCATACTCCAAGACATATGGTAGGAAGTTGTGACAAAACTTCTAGCTTACTTGGAGAAGTAAGGGGGAAAAGTCAAATGGAAAAGGAAATGGAAAAACTGAAGTTTCCTCCATCTGCATTCTATTTGGCTTACATTACTGCTGATTTCCTTTATGAAAAGAGAGAAATCACACACACACAAAAATATGCTAACAAGTTGGCCAGGATAAATAGATGCCCAGGATAAATAGATGCCCAGGAAAAAAAAAACTTTCTCTACTTAGAAAGACATTGTTAATTATTATTTCATTATTATACCTACCACTTACCGGACATGTTAATGTATCATGAACTGAAGATGTAGCCAAATTTGTATTCAATGGTTCCCTGAGACCTAAAAATTATTTCAAGGATTTGTCCAGGATAAAAAGATTGAGGGAGGCTCACACAGATGTATGAAGATCAACCATGTCTTTATAACTGCAGAAGCTTAGTTATGAGTGTATATGGAAGCTCATTATACTAATTTTTATTTTTATGACTATTTGAAATTTTCCATAATAAAAAATTAGAAACAACTATGGAAGGGAATGAAAAATTTACCTAAACTTTTAGGACCTAATTTAAAGCCTGTTTACCCTACACTGTTTGCAGAAGAGAATGAAACTGACATCCAGAAAGAGGCAGAGACAGAGACCCCAGAAGCACAAACCAGCCCTCATTCTCACTATTCCCAGCCCGGCCCCTCCCCTCCCAATTCCTTTTTTGTGTACGTTAAAGTTGGGACTTGTTCACTTAGAACCCAAAGGCACTGACCAATGGAAAACTATAAATATTTGCATTCATCTTCTGGGAGTATACAGTATTATCTTGGGAATGCACCAAAACAGAAAAGAAGTTAACACTAAATTTGTTAACTTTTGACCATTTTCAAAAAATCAAGTCTACTTTTCAAATGTTGAATATGTCTGCATCATAGTCTCTTAGTACCGTTTCCCATGAAGAGGAACCAGGACTCCTTGGGAAATTGCTGATTCCTGGTCTGGGCATTAAATGCCCAAGATGAGCCTGGAGTATCTTTGGATTCCAGAAATCAGAGACTGCAAAGACTAGCAGGGTCAGGTCAAAAAAACATGGGCTGCCTGCCAGCCAGCATGACCAATTTAAGCACTGAAGTTTGAAACACATCAAATGTTTTAAATCCATGAGTTAATAATGACACTTAAGAAAATGAAAAGAAAAAGAAACCTCTTTGGTCACCTTTGGAGGGTGATAGTGAAGCAACTCATTTATTCTGAAAACAAGAAAATAAGGAGAAAGAAACAAAGTATTTTATTCTAACTTTCCTATACAAATTGTACCTCCACATATAAAATAACTGATGAGCAAAAACAAATTTTTCAGAATTCCAGCAATAAATGCAGAAGGGAGGCTGGGTGCGGTGGCTCACACCTGTAATCCCAGCACTTTGGGAGGCCAAGGCAGGAGGATCACATGAGTCCAGGAGTTCAAGATCAGCCTGAGCAACACAGGGAGACCCCATCTGTATAATTAAAAAAAAAAAAAAAAAAAAAAAGCCGACACAGCGACTCACACCTGTAATACCAGCACTTTGAGAGGCTGTGGTGGGTGGATCACTTGAGCCCAGGAGTTTGAGACTAGTATGGGCAACATAGTGAAACCTCATCTCTACAACAAATACAAAAAAATTATCTGGGCATGGTGATGTGCACCTGTGGTGATGTGCACCTGTGATCCCAGCTACTTAGGAGGCTGAGGTGGGAGGATCACTTGAGCCCAGGAGATGGAAGTTGCAGTGAGCTGAGATCATGCCACTGCATTCCAGCCTGGGTGACAGAGTGAGACTCTGTCTCAAAAAAAATAAGTACAGAAGGAATAATATCACCATTATACAGCTCTTAAACAACGGATTTGAGGAATAATCATCAATACTACCCCAAAACCATTAGGTGAAAAGCTGACAGGAAACTTTATAATGGAAAGTTCCGACTAGCAACATAGCACATGTACAGAAGAAGAGAGGATATCCTACCTGCTTGAAAATTCTTTTCTTTACAGGGAGGAAAGGTCAATTAGAAATACAAAGGGAAGAAGAAATTCACCAGTTTACACCATAACTACTCTTTTACATTAACCACTGTTGTAGATGAAAGTCTGCAGTCTCAAGGGCATGGCAGGGTGTTCTGTATAGTCTGGGCCATCTTCCTTAAAGCTGGTGTTCACCAAGTACAAAAGCGCCTACCAGAAATATTTGTCAGCGTCCAACAGACATGGCAAGGCTATTCCATATTCTTTTCTTTTCAGGAAAGCTCTGCCCTTCTCATGATATCCCATAGCTAACATAAGGGCCTAGGAAAAAATACAAATTTAAAAAACATCACTTTAAAATATAATAAGGCAAATTATATTAAAAGCATATTACTTTTTAAAAAACAAAGTAAAAAAAATGAAAACAAGATCATAACTCAATCTAAAAGCCAAAATTAAGAAAAATATAATTAATTAAAGCTTTATTTCATTTAAATACTGAAGCCAAACACTTCATTTATTATAGCTGATACAATCCTAACCAGCACTTGGCCCTTTGCTTTCATTAGTTTATTTTCGTATCCACTGATCTGGATTCTACTTCTAATATTCTATTCAGACTAAACATATTAAAAAGCAGCCAGTAATGCTTGTATCATTTTTATTTTATTTATTTTATTTTTTTGAGACGGAGTCTCATTCTGTCGTCCAGGCTGGAGGGCAGTGGTGCGATCTCGGGTCACTGCAACCTCTGCCTCCTGGGTTCAAGCGATTCTCCTGCCTCAGCCTGCCGAGCAGCTAGGACTACAGGCATGAGCCACCATGCCCGGCTAATTTCGTATTTTTAGTAGAGATGGGGTTTCACCATGTTGGCCAGGCTGGTCTCAAACTCCCGACCTCAGGTGATGTGCCGCCTTGGCCTCCCAAAATGCTGGGATTACAGGCGTGAGCCACGGTGCCCGGCTGCTTGTATCTTTAAAAAGGGCATTCATTTCACTTTCTATTCTTTTTTTTTTTTTGAGACAGAGTCTCGCTCTGTCACCCAGGCTGGAGTGCAGTGGCGCGATCTCGACTCACTGCAAGCTCCACCTCCCAGGTTCACACCATTCTCCTGCCTCAGCCTCCCAAGTAGCTGGGACTACAGGTACCCACCACCACGCCTGGCTAATTTTTTTTTTTGTATTTTTAGTAGAGACAGGGTTTCACCGTGTTAGCCAGGATGGTCTCGATCTTCTGACCTCGTGATCTGCCCGCCTCGGCCTCCCAAAGTGCTGGGATTACAGGCATGAGCCACCGTGCCCGGCCTCACTTTCTATTCTTAATCATCTAGTTTTTTCAGAAGTTGTTTGTCAACTTTAGTATTTCCAAAACAAATTTTTTTATTTTATTTTTTTTTTGAGACAGAGTCTCGCTCTGTCTTCCAGGCTGGAGTGCAGTGGCGCGATCTCGGCTCACTGCAACCTCTGCCTCCCGAGTTCACGCCATTCTTCCACCTCAGCCTCCCGAGTACCTGGGACTACAGGCGCCCACCACCACGCCTGGCTAATTTTTTTGTATTTTTAGTAGAGATGGGGTTTCATTGTGTTAGCCAGGATGGTCTCGATCTCCTGATCTTGTGATCCACCCACCTCGGCCTCCCAAAGTGCTGGGATTACAGGCGTGAGCCACCGCGCCCGGCCCCAAAACAATTTTTAAAAGGTGATCCAAAATTTTTTGAAGTTCATTAGATTTTTCAATTTAAATGTTCGCATAATTCAGTCTGATAAAGCAGTAGTCCCAACCTTTTGGCACTAGGGACTGCTTTCATGGAAGACAATTTTTCCATGGACAAGGAGGAAGGCAGATGGTTTCAGGGTGAAAACATTCTACCTCAGGTCATCAGGCATTAGATTCTCATCAGGAGTGCACAGCCTAGATCCCTCACATGCCCAGTTCACAATAGGGTTCATGCTCCTAAGACTCTAATGCCGCCGCTGATCTGACAGGAGGTGGAGCTCAGGCGGTGACGCTCACTTGCCTGCTGCTCACCTGCTATGTGGCCCAGTTCCTAACAAGCCACGGACTGGTACCCATCTGCAGCCTGTGGGGTGGGAACCCCTGTGATAAAGGTTTTCCAAAAAGATCTGGATGTCGTCATTCAATGTAAGAGAGCAGTGGGCAAGTAATCATCATTTTCAAAAGACAAACATTGGCCGGGCACAGTGGCTCACACCTGTAATCCCAGCACTTTGGGAGGCCGAGGCAGGCGGATCACGAGGTCAAGAGATTGAGACCATCTGGCCAACATGGTGAAACCCCGTCTCTACTAAAAATACAAAAATTAGCTGGGCATGGTGGCGTGCACTGTAGTCCCAGCTACTCAGGAGGCTGAGGCAGGAGAATCGCTGGAACCCGGGAGGCGGAGGTTGCAGTGAGCCAAGATTGTGCCACTGCACTCTAGCCTGATGACAGAGCGAGACTCCGCCTCACACACACACAAAAAAAGACAAACATCAATCTACTGATAACTCAAACACTGATCCACAGTTCTGTTATGAAAACAACTTTAATCCGGCCGGGCGCAGTGGCTCATGCCTGTAATCCCAGCACTTTGGGAGGCCGAGGTGGGTGGATCACCTGAGGTCAGGAGTTCAAGAACAGTCTGGCCAACATGGCGAAACCCCGTCTCTACTAAAAATACAAAAATTAGCCAGGCATGGTGGGGCACACCTGTACTCCCAGCTACTTGGGAGGCTGAGGCAGGAGAATTGCTTGAACCAGGGAGGCGAAGGCTGCAGTGAGCTGAGATCGCACCACTGCACTCCAGCCTGGGCAACAGAGTAAGACTCCTTTTCAAGAAAAAAAAAAAAAAAACTTTAATCTTTAATTTTAAACAGAGTAACTCATAGAATGAAGCCTACTCAAAACCATCCCTTAAAAACAGAAAAATTAAAATTAATTTGACCCATAGTCATTCATTATAAGAAGCTACTGAACCCTTTCTCAGAGATTGATCTTAGAGTCCAAGTTCCAGAATGCTGCTATAGAGGCCCCCAAGGGGCTGGGTGCAGTGGCTCACACCTGTAATCCCAGAACTTCGGGAGGCCGAGGCGGGCGGATCATCTGAGGTCAGGAGTTCAAGACCAGCCTGGTCAACATAGCAAAACCCTGTCTCCACTAAAAATACAAAAGTTAGCCAGGCATGGTGGTGCGTGCCTATAATCCCAGCTACCCAGGAGGCTGAAGCAGGAGAATGGCAACAGAGCGAGACTCCATCTCAAAAAAAAAAAAAAAAAAAATTAGCTGGACATGGTGGTGTGTACCTGCAGTCCCAGCTACCCAGAAGGCGGAGGCGGGAGGATCGCTCAAGCCCAGGAGGTTAAGGCTGCAGTGAGCTATGATGGTGCCACTGTACTCCAGCCTGGGTGACAGGGCAAGACCCTGTGTCTTAAAAAAACAAAAACACGGCAGAGTTCGGTGGCTCACGCCTGTAATCCCAGCAGTTTGGGAGGCCAAGGTGGGCAAATCACCTGAGGTCGGGAGTTCAAGACTAGCCTGACCAACATGGAGAAACCCTGTCTCTACTAAAAATACAAAATTAGCCATCCGTGGTGGCACATGCCTGTAATCCCAGCTACTCAGGAGGCTGAGGCAGGAGAATCACTTGAACCCAGGAGGCGGAGGTTGCAGTGAGCTGAGACTGAGCCATTGCACTCCAGCCTGAGCAACAAGAGCAAAACTCCGTCTCAAAAACAAAAAAACAAACAAAAAACCCACAGATATGTTTAAGATTAAACCTCCGCCTACCTATCCCAAATTATAGAACAGGGAAAGAGTATGAGGAAATAGGGAAGAGAAGTCAGAATCACCTGTGGACTTTTCCCAAACGACACAGTTTCCCTACCCCTATTCTGATCCATCCCTTAGGGGACAAGGTTCTCTAGTAAAATAAACTAAATGTAAAGCACTGCCACAGGAAGCTGCATGCACTGAAGGCAGTGGGTCGTGTCCTCAGGTATGTTGAAAGTCACTGCTCCAGGACAGTGAGACATGACATTTTGTACTAATGCGCTGAAAAGCACAGGGTGAGGCCCATTGGATGCCAGTGCTCACCACGTGGTGACATTTTCTGTTTACGAGGCTGGAGATGGAGCACTGTTTCCAACCCTTTACAACACTTCCAACATAAAGCAACTAAAAAACCACCTCTGCCCTGACAACAAATCTAAGAACAGGCCACACATTTCTCATAGTACTTACTTTTCTTTCTGATGGGGGAATTCTGATTGATCTGCCTGTCTGGTTAGCTATGTCTAAGTACGGTGTCATTTCTGGATCCACCACTGTCTCTGCTGCTGTAACAAAACCAAAAGGACCTCCATGAACTCAATGTTAAACAGTTATGATGATGACAGCCTTAAAAATGTTAGACTGTTGAGGTGAGACTCAGTGAGAGCCATGATCCCCCAACTGTGTGATCCAGTGCTGCCCCCAAGCAGCTGAGTGGGTGACAAGCCCAGAGCTCTGGGTACCTCTCTTTGCCAGTATTTCTAGTCCTCTCTTGGTCCTCTGAATTTGTTTTTCTTTGAGTTTGGCCTCATTTTGCTCCTCTTCCTCTAACTGGAAGTTTTTCCTCGCGTCCTCTTCAGATTGTTTTAGTTCAAGCACCATCGCTTTCACATTGTGAGCCACGCCTTGTTCTTCAAGGGTTTTCCCTATAAAAATCAGAACTGCCTATTATTTTAAAAAGCCATTAAGCTTACCAGGTAACAGTCCATTTTCTATGTTAAATGGAATTGTTTTTATTTTTGAGACAAGGTCTCACTCTGTCACCCAGGCTGGAGTGCAGTGACACGATCATGGCTCCCCACAGCCTTCATCTCCTGGGCTCAAGCAAGTCTTGCACCTCAGCCTCCCGAGGAGCTGGGACTACAGGCCCATGCCATCACACCCAGTTAATTTTTGTATTTTTCGCAGTGATGGAGTCTCACTATGTTGCCCAGCTTGTCTTGAACTCCTGGGCTCAAGTGATCCTCCCACCTCAGCCTCACAAAGTGCTGGGTTACAGACATCAGGCCTTGCTCCTGGACAAAATGGAATTCTTAATCCTGCATACCATCACGCCACATAATTGGTAAAAATATGCCTACATTTGGTTGTAACTATGTCACTGTTAAGCAGTGGTTAAAATCAGCTAGCGACAATAGAATCAACTAAATTCATCTTTTCTAATCTTCTTTATTCTCAGCCTAAGACCAGATCAAAGCAACAGATATTTGATAATCTACTACAGGGAGAACATTGTGCTAGACAATATAAACGGAAAATGAGAAAGTATAACACACCTCTCCTACCCTCTAGTTGAAAAAATAATAAAGCCAATTCACAGCTACAAACAAGAAGCTGTACTGCAGTCTGTCACGGTTAAAAGCAAAGACCAGCAGGGCGTGGTGGTTCACACCTGTAATCTCAGTACTTTGGCAGGCTGAGGCAGGTGGATCACTTGAGCCCCGGAGTTCAAGATCAGCCTGGGCAACACAGTGGACCCCGTCTCCACAGAAAATAAAACATTAGCCTGGCATGGTGGTATGCACCTGTGGTCCTAGCTACTCAGTGGGAAGCTGAGGTGGGAGGATTGCTTGCACCTGGGAGGTGGAGGCTGCAGTGAGCTGCAATCGCACACCACACTCCAGCCTGGGTGACAGATAGAGACCCTATCTCTAAATAAATAAATAAAAGCAAAGACCATGGGCTCCATCTACCGTTTTAACTCTGTGGCCCTGAATAAACTACCTATCTTCTAGGACTCAGTTTCCTCATACATAAATTAGAAATAAAGGGCAGAAATCAGTGAAACAGAATGAAAGAAAACAGTAACAAAATCAAAAGCTGGCTCCATGAATAAATTAGCCAAATACACAAATCTAACAAAAATTATGTCAAAGATGCAAATAAACAAAATAAAAAAGGGTAAACATAGATGCAAACAGATTTTAAAATAACAAATAATATTGTGAACTAAAAAACACAAATGTGAACACATTTCTGGAAAACTAGCTGGATTTTTTTCTTTTGAGAAATATGACAACCTTTCTAACATTAACACACAAAATAAAGGTCCACCAGTGGTTAAGCCATCTTGATTAAAAAAAAAAAAAAAGCAAGGGTGGGGGGAGGTCACCAGATTTTAAGACTGCAACAAAGCCACAGTAATAAAAAACACCACAGGTGAGTAGGAAGAACAGAAAATATAGGAACAGGGCCCCCCAAAAAGGGTCACCACCAATCAGCAGGGAAAAGACAGACTATTTAATGAATTATATAGGAAGAAAAATAAAGGAACCCTTAAACTTTATATAGAAAGGGGGACTCTGGACAGACTGAAGACCTCTTATAGATTAAGCTAATATTCAAGAAAATGTAGACTATCCTTGTGGCCCTGGGGTTAGGGAAAGGACTTCAACAAAACACAAACCATAGGCAATGGATTTGATGACATCAAAATCAAGGTTTCTGTCCAATGAAGGATGCCACAAACAGAATTAACAGAGGGATGAGGCAACAGTGAAAAGATATCCATGACATCTAAAATAGACAATGGGAAATTGCTAGAGATGACGCTGGAAAGCAAGGCTAGGGTGAGCTGTGAAGGGCTGTCTTAGATCAAGCTAAGAAATGTGGACTTCATTCTCGAGGCCACAGGAACGCACTGGAAACCAGTGGGCTACAGTGCTTGTATGGATGGCTGCAGTAGCTAACTGGTCTCCCCAAGTCAACTCATGCCACCTTCAAATACATTCCCCTACTGCGTGACCTTTCTAAAACACAAACAGAATTGTGTATCACTCCGCAGCACAGATGTCTTCCCATGTATCTTAGGAGAAATGTACTAACACTGAGGAAGGTCATCTAGTTTCTCGTTTCCCAACAGCTGCGCTACTGACATCTGGGACTGGACAAGTCTTTGTTGTGGGGCCTGTTCTGGGCATTGCACATTCAGCAGCATCCCTAGCCTCCACCCACTAAATGACAGCAGCACAACCTCCCCCGTCACCAAGTTATAAGCACCACAAATGTCTCCAGACAATGCCAAATGTCTCCTGGGAATTCACAGTGTGGCCTCTGCTTGCCCCTCCATCCTTAAAAAGCACTCCCCTCCCCTCATTCTCCACACACAGCCACACTGGACCTTCCTCAGTTCCTCAAATTCACACCATAGTGCTCTGACATAAGGCTCTCAGTCTGGAACGCACGCCACCATGGCCTCCCCACTGTCCTGACACAGCCTTAGCTCTTCTCCTTCAAGAAGAATTTGCTGGAACTGGCATCTTACACTCAGCACACCTTACATTCCATTCTCTAACATTTTATCTAAGCTGTAATGAGTGTCTTTCTTCCCACTATCATAGAACAGACAGTAAATATTTATTGGAAAAGCTATTTTCTGCTTTACATTTTTATTTTAGTAAACTTCTAAATCACTTTTGGATTATAAATGAAATAAAGCTACAAATTTTTGAAAAGACATTGAGAAAAAAAGGGAAGTCATTATTTCTATATTTGGTTCATTAAAAAATTATGCATACTTTGCCATACATACCTAGTTGTAGTTGCTTCTTATTTATGACAATTTTGATATAATTTTCTTGAAGTCCAAAGGTTTCAGCTATTCTGTAAAATAAAACCAGTGAAAATTGTAGGAAAACAAAATTGCGATTTATTATCCATTAAAAAGACATTAGCCAGGCCCGGTGGCTCACGCCTGTAATCCCAACACCCTGGGAGGCCAAGGTGGGAGGATGGCTTGAGCCCAGGAATTCAAGACCAGCCTGGGCAACAGAGAGATCCTATCTCTACAAAAAATTTTTAAAAATTAGCCAGGCCTGGTAGCCCATGCCTGTGGCCCTAGCTGCTTGGGAGGTTTGGGTAGGAGGATTGCTTGAACCGCGAGTTTGAGGTTGCAATGAGCTATATTTATGCCACTGTGCTTCAGCTTGGGTGACAGAGCAAGATCCTGTCTCTAAAAAATAAATATTTTTTAAAAGAAGGCTTTAATCATGATAGCTCTTTTATCCATTTTATCAGAAACACCCAGGATTTCAACTGACTGACTCACAAACATCACAATAAAGCCATCTTACTAGACGGCTATTTGAAACTGTAGGAGACAAGGTCCTTTTTAAACTTTCCGTTTTACTGCTTGTTTCCTCAGGCAGTGGAGACCACAGTGCTGTAGATCCATGTGAACAGGAAGCCCTAGTTGCACATCCGGAGAAAATCTACCTATACCTTCTGTGGTCTCCCTGGAGAAGCCCATAGCGGGGGCTGATCCACAGGGTCTTCTACGCATGTGTGTTGCATGCCACTTCCTGAATCCACCCCTGACAGCCCTGATGTAGACCAAAGAAGGAAATGAGAAAAATCAGCTGAAGAAATACACCCGCTAGCTAGCCCTGGAGGTGCTCCAAACACCATTTTAAAACATACAAGGAGATGAAATAACCCACCAGATCTCAAAGTTAGGATTTCACTAGTATGTGGCAAACGTGTGTGTGTGTGTGTGTGTTTTACAGATGGGCCAACAGCCTGAAATCAGATAAAACACCGTGCTGAAGGTCATAGCAAGCTATTAATACATTAGGGAAAAAAAATAGTAATTCAAAACTAATGAGCTAGTGAGTACCAGGTGTCTCCTGCTTGTATCACTCACTCATTCACTCAAACATGCACCAAGTGCCTACCATATGATAGGCATGGAGTTCCCACCTGCTCGGAAGTTACACCAGGAAATAGTGCTTGCAAGTCTTGAGTCCTCACTTTGCCACTTACCTACCAGTGACAGCTCTAATAAGTCCTTCAACCTCAAAGCCTCAATTTTCTCTTTTATAAAATGAAGATAATACCTGCCCTACCTATCTTAAGAGGACGCTCACAGAGGATCAAATAAGCCAATGTAAAAAGGCCCAGAGCACCTAGGACACAGAGCACACAGATACTTACTTGGACCTCAGTTCTCTGCCAGTGATGTGCAATCGGGTCTCCAACAAGTTTTTCCTATCCTGTTAAAAATAAGACAAAGTAAAACGTACTTGAATTTAACCCATTTTGGAGAGATTACCCTGTGAAATCAGAAAAGCTGACGGCAGAGGATATAAACTGAGTTCACTGTTAAAAACTAAAATGCTGCCTGCCTAGAAGTCTACTGAACATAACCCAGCACAGGCTGACCCTGTGACCTGCACGTCCTCAAGGGGGCGGCAGCGTGGCACCACCAGGCAGGGCTGCTCAGAGGGGCCGTCTCACACAGCTGGACGTCTTTAACATTTCAGAACATTTCCACCATCCCTCAAAGAAACACCATGGCCTGCACCCCATTCCCTCCCCTTTGCCCCCCAGCCCCTGGCAACCACTAATCCATTTTCTGCTGCTACAGATTTGCCTATTCCGGACATTTCATATAAATGGGATAGTGCAGTACGTGGCCTTTTGTGTCTGGCTTCTTCCCTGAGCATCATGTTTTCAGGTGCACCCACGTTGTGGACGCATCAGCACTTCATTCCTTTGCATTGTGAACAGTTTTCCATCGTATGAATAGACCACATTTATCTATCCCTTCATCTGTTGATGGACATTTGGACTATTTCCATCTCTCAGCTACTGAATAGTGTTGCTATGACCATTCATGTATGAGGTTTTACATATTAATATATATGTGGGCGGCAAGCCACCCAGGTGCCAAGGCAAGAGACCGAGGGCACAAATTGTTCCAGTATAATAAAGAAAATATATAGAATAAGAATAGTTACACTAGAAATAGATTATAGATATGATTATATATGAATATCATTATTAGTTTGTAGTATTACTCTTTATTTCAATATTACAATAATCTTTGTTCTACAATTATAACCTAGGAAAAACCAGGCCACACAGAGATAGGAGCTGAAGGGACACAGTGAGAAGTGACCAGAAGACAAGTGTGAGCCCTCTGTTATGCCCGAACAGGGCCACTAGAGGGCTCCCTCGTCTAGCGGTAACTCCAGTGCCCGGAAAGGCCCTCGTTACTTAGCAGACCTTGGTCTAGCGGTAGCGCCAGTGCCTGGGAAGGCACCTGTTACTTAGCAGACTGGGAAAGGGAGCCTCTCCCTGGGGTAGTTAGAGAAGACTCTGCTCCACCACCTCTTGTGGAAGGCCTGACATTAGTCAGGCCCGCCCACAGCCATCCAGAGGCCTAAACGTCTCCCTGTGACGCTGTGCTTCAGTGGTCCCGCTCCTGTTTCACTTTCATGTTCCGCTCTGTACACCTGGCTCCGCCTTCTAGATAGCAGCAGCAGAAAGTGAAAGTATTAACGTCTTTGATCTTTCTGAGAAGAGCATAGAAGAAATAATGACGTAAGCTGTCCTCTCTCTCCGCCTCGTCTACCTACAAGGGAAAGGCCCCCTGTCCGGTGGACACATGACTCCTGTGACCTTATCAATCATTGGAGATGACTCACAGTCCTTACCCTGCCCCTTCTGCCTTGTATCCAATAAATAACAGCACAGCCAGGCATTCGGGGCCACTACCGGTTTCCGCGTCTAGGTGGTAGTGGTCCTCCGGGCCCAACTGTCTTTTCTTCTATCTCTTTGTCTTGTGTGTTTATTTCTACGATCTCTTGTCTCCGCACATGAGGAGAAAAACCACAGACCCAGTAGGGCTGGAGCCTATGCTCTTATTTCTTCTGAGAGTGCTGGCATCGATCAGTCCCAAGAGGCTCTGGGTGCCTTGCCACAGTGACATTTCTAGATGCAAACTACCTGGCCATGGCAATGAGAGGAGGTGACCCCACCCAGATCTCCTCGGCCCTGCTTGAGAGCACTCAGCGGACTGCCCTCTGACCTCTACTGGAACAGGAAAAGGATGAAGCCTTCTGTGCTGTGTCCTCCTGCACAGGCTTCTAGGAAACTTGGGAATCCTTTATTCCCCATTATTTCTCAACGTTCACACGCTAGAAAGGATCAGAATGTGACATACAGCTCTGTGGCATTTTAGAAGCCCAAGAGGGTCTCTAAAAGCCTACCTTGGGAATGTTCCAGTTTAAGAATTTGTAACATTGACTTTCAAGCTGATAAATTGTTCAATATGTAAAGTCACTTAAAAGAATTCTGACTTTGGATTGTAACTTTCCAAACAACAACAATTTATTTGACCTCATCACTAACTGGACATTAGTGCCTACTCAAATTTAGGGAAATTACTCACTTTTTTTAGTCTTGGTGGTAAAAACACCTCGATTGTAGCAATTCCCGTTGTTCTATAATTGTCATTTCCTGTTCCACGCTCAATTGCCTTGCAACGTATTTCTTCTATTACCTTTTCTACTTCATTTTCACAGCATTCTAGTCTGTCAGAGTACTGCTTAGCAAGGTCCTATCAAGAAAAATCAGAAAATGCAATACTGACTTAAAAAAAAAAAGGCAAAATATAGAAAAGGGCATGAAAGACTCTAAGGCCATCAACTCTGATGAGTGGAGGTCGCCCCGTTACACTGCAGTCCACACTGTGGTTTGACATCTTGAGAGGTGTGGAGTTTAGAGAGGCCAGGAAAAAGTGAAAACACTTATTTGAGACTGGGCGCGGTGGCTCATGCCTGTAATCCCAGCACTTTGGGAGGCCGAGGCAGGCGCATCACTTGAGGTGATGAGTTTGGGACCAGCCTGGCCAACATGGTGAAACCCCATAACTACTTAAATACAAAAATTAGCTGGGCATGGTGGCGTGTGCCTGTAGGCCCAGCTACTTGGGGGGCTGAGGCAGGAGAATCGCTTGAACCCAGGAGGCAGAGGCTGCAGTGAGCCAAGATTGTGCCACTGTACTCCACCCTGGGTGACAGAGCAAGACTCCGCCTCAAAAAAAAAAAAAAAAAAAAAAAAGCAAAAAGCAAAAAACAAAAACATTTATTTGATAAATGTTTTCTACCTACAAATAGTAAAATAATAATAATAATAGAGAATCTTCTAAGGAGAAGAAAAGGGTGGGCTATGACTTATGTGACTGTGATCTATTTAAAAAGTATAATGAACTGTTCAACTCCACTGGAAGGGAAAATGAAAAAAAAACCCAGAAAATATTCCAATTTTTCAAACTTGTGAGAACAAATCAAGTTGGACTTAAACAATTCTCTTAATGAAAATCTGTGAATCATGGGTACTAGTTGTAAAACTATTTGTAAGGGAGAGCTTTAGAATTGAGAAAAAAAAGAAGATTGAAAGGGCTCAAGAAAGGATGGGAACCAGTTATTACTGAGAGCAAAGTCATTATGGTTCCTCCCCAAAAAAATCCAGATGAGTATCTCTAATCTAAAAATCTGAAATCGCCAAAATTCAGCATCTGGAGATGCTCAAAGGAAATGCACACTGAAGTATTTTGAATTTTGAATTTTCAGATTAGGATGCCCAACTAGTAGGTATAAAGCAAACATTCCAAAATCCAAACACACTTCCAGTCCCAAATATTTCAGTTACGGGATACTCCTCTCAATCTGTATCTGCATGTGAGGTTAATGTTTCATTAAACATCTCATAAAACAGTAAACACTTCAAAAAACCCTAAAGGTCAAGGTTTCATTAAATTCATAATGTAATACCATGTAGTACGTAAAAATTATGGTGTAAGCATAAATTTATGACAGAAGAGATGTTCATGATAAAAGTGAAGTTGGAAAACTTTATAGATATGAGTATAGATTGGGCGCGATGGCTCATGCCTGTAATCCCAGCACTTTGGAAGGCAAGGTGAGAGGATTGCTCAAGCCCAGGACTTCAAGACCAACCTGGGCAACAAAGTGAAACCCCGTCTCTACAAAAACTAAAAATATATTAGCCAGGCATGGTGGCATGCACCTGTAGTCCCAGCTACTCCCAAGGCTGAGGTGGGAGAATCACTTGAGCCCAGGAGTGTGAGGCTGCAATGAACTATGGCCATGCCATTGCACTCCAGCCTGGGCAACAGATCAAGACCTTGTCTCAAAAAAAAAGGAAAAAAAATTTTGTAAGTAACATAAACCTATATATACTTTTTTTTTCTTTTAGAGACGGGGTCTCACTACGTTGCCCAGGCTGGAGTGCAGTGGCTATTCACAGGTGGGACCATAGCATACTACAGTCTCCAACTCCCGGGTTCAAGTGATCCTCCTGCCTTAGCCTCCTGAGTAGCTGGGACTACAGGCATGCGCCACTGTGTCCAGCAATACATTTTTTTAATAGTTACGTAGGAAAAGAGGAAGAATATACCTATGTTAACGATGTTTAACATATTTTAAAAATACATTCTTTATATTTTTGTATTTATATACATACTTTTTAAAACCTAGAATATATATTATAAATACTTTTTTAAAAACTTTCTATAATTTTCTAGAAAACCTAACTAGTGAGGATTTCTTTCTTCCTCCTGTCACCAGCCAATTCTGACACCAACTGGAAGTCCTACGATTCAATTCTGACACTAACTACCCAGAGTTAGCGTTAGACTCCACAGGTTTAAGGGCTCAGCCCACAAAAAAGCCCTAACTTCAGATACCAGTTACCAAGTATCTGGTCCCCAGGTTACCCATACTTTTGTCTGACTTAGCTACAAAGTCGAGGGTTCACACAAGCACCCCCTTCAGGTTCCATGATTTGCTAGAACAACTCACAGAACTCCAGAAAATGGTATACTTATGAATATAGTTCATTACAAAGGATACAAATAACCATTCACATGAAGAGGTACTAAGGCAAGGTCTGGAAGGGTCCTGAGCATAGAAGCCTCTGTCCCATGGAGTTGGGGGTGTACATCCCGACATGTGGATGTGTTCACCAATTTGGAAGCTGTCCAAAATCTGTCACTTAGGGGTTTGTATGGAAGTTTCATTATGCAGGCCTGATTAAATCACTGACCATTAGTATTAGTCATCAGCTCAATCTCCCCTTCCCAGAGGTTGGAGGGGAGGGTGGAAAGTTTCAAGTGTCTAATCACGGCTTGGTACTTTTGGTGACCAGCCCCATCCTGAAGCTATCTAGGGGCAACCAAGCCTCATGAGCACAAAGGTTGCTCCTATCATGCTTACCACTTAGGAAATCCCAAGAGTTTTGGCTCTGCCAGGAACCAGGGACAAAGGTCAAATATTTTTCCTTTATGCCACACCTAGTTTCTAAACCAAGAGACTGTAACAATAAATTCAGAAGCAAGGTCAGAAGGTGGGTTGCAAAGAAAAAGTGAGGCCTGCCTGGAACAGAAGAAACAGAAGAACTAGGACCCTAATACAGTTTGTCACCTCCCAAGCACATCATTATGTCACAACACAGAGCAATTTAATGCCTCATGACAATCCTTAGTCCCTGATAAATGTTACATCATGTTCAGGATACTCTGAATGAGAGCAGAGAAGTACATGCTAGGAAATTCCAGTATGATAGATTTCTGGCAAAAATGAGTACTGTTTCTCTGCTTAGAAAAGCAAGCAGACTTCAGTTTCTAGAAACATCACTTACATACAATATCATTTCTGATGATGCCATGAAAAACTGAGATACAACTGTTAGAAAAAACCTATTTTGGAAAAATGAACACTGATAGTGAGAGCATCAAAAAAACTGGGGGAAAAAGGAGCAATTGTTTCACAGCAGATGATGATAGCAAGGAGGACCGAGAATGAGCCAAGACACTGTCACTTTGAACACACAATGCAATTACTTACTGGCACCAATACTGTTCCACTAATGGGTCAAAATGAGTTCCAGATAAATAATGTTATGTAATCCTGTGATGGTATTAAAAATATATGCCTGAAAAATTAGATAACATCCTCATGTGAATAAAATATTAATGAACAAAAATAAGGTTGTCAGTTCCTAGTAAAAAGTGGGTACCCGCTCACCACTAATGCTTTTGGTTATGCCAAAAGTTTATATGGTCATGCCTGACAATTCAGAATCTTATTTACCAAGGAGATTTATAATGCTGCTAATTATTGATGTCTTAAAAGAAAAATACCTTTAATGCCAAACCAACTTTTTTATTTTCATCTGTATATGGAGGTTTCCAAAGTTGAATCCTGTCTTCCCTTAAAAACTGGGTCAATTTTGCTTGAAGATATTTCTTTTGTGCCATCCCTGAAAGCAAAACAATACATTAATAAAACTCCACATCGCATTTTAAAATGTTAATAACTTACCTACATGTTAAGGTGCTTTGTTGGGTAAGCAAAGCTCCCTTCCTCTGTCATTAAATATAAATTACTATGGTTTAAATGAGCTCCAGACTTCTCTAAAAATATATATAGAAATATATGTTCAATTATATATATTACATATATAAAATATGTATTTCAAAGTTGCTAATATGTAGCAAGGATTATTACATGTTTCTATTTCTTAATCTGCTATTCTCTTATCTAAGAGAAAAGAGAAAATAAGAGAAAGATAAATCCCTCGAGTCGTGAACTTCTTTTTTTCTTTTTTGAGACGGAGTCTCGCTCTGTCGCCCAGGCTGGAGTGCAGTGGTGCGATCTCGGCTCACTGCAAGCTCCGCCCCCTGGGTTCAAGCAATTCCCCTGCATCAGCCTCCCTACTCACTGGGATTACAGGCATGCGCCACCACGCCCGGCTAATTTTCATATTTTTAGTAGAGACGGGGTTTCGCCATGTTGGCCAGGCTGGTCTCGAATTCCTGACCTCAAGTGATCCACCCACCTTGGTCTCAAAACGCTGGGATTACAGGCGTGAGCTTGTAAATTCTCTCATACTTTGGCTAGTTTAACATAAAACAAAAGGCCAACCATCCTGGTAGTTAAATATAAAGAAAAGCTTGCTTGAACTGTAAACTATCGATAATAAATATTTTCGGATGGGTGTGGTGGCTCAGGCCTGTAACCCCAGCACTTTGGGAGGCTGAGTTCAGGAGCTGAGGTCAGGAGTTCGAGACCAGCCTGGTCAACATGGTGAAGCCCTATCTCTACTAAAAAAAAAAAAATATATGAACAATTAGCCGGGCGTGGTGGCAGGTACCTGTAATCCCAGCTACTCGGGAGACTGAGGCAGGAGAATCGCTTGAATCCAGGAGGCAGAGGTTGTAGTGAGCCGAGATGGCACCACTGCACTCCAGCCTGGGCAACAGAGTGAGACTCCGTCTCAAAATAATAATAAATATATAAATATTTTCTATGTCAGAATTTTTTAAATTAAAAAGATTACAATACTAGGAAAATTTTGCATATTTTCTGATTAACAGCCTAACAGCACATCTACTTTTTTTTTTTTTTTTTTTTTTTTTTTTTTTTTGAGAGGGAGTCTCACTCTGTCGCCCAGGCTAGAGTGCAGTGGTACAATCTCGGCTCACTGCAAGCTCCGCCTCCCGGGTTCACGCCATTCTCCTGCCTCAGCCTCCCCAGTAGCTGGGACTACAGGCGCCCGCCACCACGCCCGGCTGATTTTTTGTATTTTTAGTAGAGATGGGGTTTCACCGTGTTGGCCAGGATGGTCTCAATCTCCTGACCTTGTGATCCGCCCGCCTCGGCCTCCCAAAGTGCTGGGATTACAGGCCTGAGCCACCGCGCCTGGCCCTACTATTCAAATCTAACACTGATCGGATCATTTTACAGCTGAGAAAATTAGGGCCCTGAGTTTGTACCATGACTCAGGCAAAGACACAAAATTAGGCAGCATCTTAACGAGCACAACTTCCACCCACAACACTGGACTCTGAACTTCCGTCATGGAGTCCCTTGCTGCTTGCCTGTTCCAGGTATGTAACTTCTCTCTCCCAGAGAAGTATGTACCGCGATGGAGCTGTCTACTCATCCCATACTAGCACAGCAATTCAAAGGTGAGTGAGGCGGCTGAGATGTAAGGCAGCTGGCAGGTGTAGCACAGCGCTTTAAGGTTTCCCAAATCAGACAAGCAATAAGTAAAGAAAAATGTTATTAGCCCCTGAATGATGAAGACAAGTTCTAGAGAGTGGAAAAAATATGAGTTAATATTACCAAGATAAATTTCTTTCTTCTATTGAGGGCCAGTATTCCACATCCCCCCAAACCCAATTCACACAACTTTGAAATCTTTGAAAACTTTGGTAGCTTGTGTATTTCATAAACAAATATTTTTTAAAAGAAAGTTCAAATCTATTTTATGTCAGTGCGGGGACAAGAATTAGGCTAATCAGGACAGGGAGGAGAAAAGAGAGGAAGGAATAACACAGCCAATGAGGCTGCTGTGTGCAACCTGGGTGGCCCATGGGAGAATCCTCCATTTTTCAAGCACTGACAAACGGCTTATCACAGCAAAGCATATTAGTACTTAGAGCGTTAGCTTTTCAAACACAAATAACTTTAAAAACTACTTTACATACTACTCATGAATCTTCAGAAATTCTGAATAAAATATCACAGCAACCCTACTGTCTCCCCACTGGGGGACAGTAATTTCACAGGCTGGTTACTGGAGCCAAGCAATTTGAAAGGCTGATGCGGTACTCAGAGATGCCATCCAAGGCCGGGCGCGGTGGCTCACACCTGTAATCCCAGCACTTGGGAGGCCGAGGCCAGTGGATCACCTGAGGTCAGGAGTTCAAGACCAGCCTGGTCAACATGGTGAAACCCCGTCTCTACTAAAAAAATAAACAAATAAAAAATTTTTAAAAAGATGCCATCCAAGCCACCACTTGACAGAAGGACGAAGGAGTGTTACAAACCCAGTGCGTGTCAGACACTCCAGGGAGCAAACAAGAGCTCCAGGGTTACACCGAATAAGATTTAATGTTAAAAAAAAATTAAACCACTGTCTTGAAACTTAAGGAACTTCAGTTATAGACAACAGAGTAAGTGGCGACATATTTTAAGTCAAGTTTAATAAGTCAGTTTTTAATTTTAACTGAAATGAGAACTGAAAAAGTTTCATGCATGCCATACAATGTTTCACATTGTAACTAAGAAAAGACGAAACTCATTAATATCACTCCGTGGTCCAAGCAGAAAGTGAAACGTTATAACGATCCTTTAAAAATTTCACTTTCACTTTTGTAATGAATCGATCATTGCTACATTTAGCCACACCTTTTCAAGTATACATTATATATAGTTGAAACACAACTATATCTAGTCAAGACACATTCATTTTTTCTTAGGAAAATGAAAGATTCTTGATTAAAAATAAAAGGGAAGGAGGTGAGAATGATAGAATCAGGTCGTCAAGGTTCGAGAAAATCAAGTGTCTTGTCATTAAATAGCAAAGAAAATCTGGCTTTGATTGCAAATAAATCCCAAATGGTATACTCGGAGTGTTACGATTCAAGTATAGCATTTGGCTAATTTTTTATAGACATATTTATTCCTTTCTCTCCCCAAACCGATACACTCAATATTTTCTTTTAAATACCCCACACCTCTGCCTAACTCAGGGCAAACCAAAGGGCCCCGAACGGCCAGCGCGTCCCGAAGCCCGGCCCACCGCTCCCGGCCCCGGCCCCGGCCCCGGCCCAGCTCCACGCATGGCTGCTCACCCCCGCCCCGCGGCCGCTCCACCCCTGGCCAGGAGAGGTGCCCAGTCGGACCGGGAACCGGGGCGCCAAGCAGTGCTGCTGAGGCTGGGGTCGAGGACACTCGGCCGCCGTGTCCTCACCTGCGCCACGCCACTCCCGCCGCGACCAGCAGAGTGCCCGGATGCGGCAGCGGCCGCCGTTTGTTTTCATTCCGGGTGAGGCCAGCCCCGCCCCCGCCGCCGCTGTCGCCTTCGCGCCGCCGCCGCCGCCGCCGCTTGGAAAGAGGGTTGTGGGCGGGGCCAAGGCGAAGCCAGCTGTGGGCGGGGATACGGTTGTGTGGGCGTGGTTACCGCGGGGCGGAGCCGCGACGGGGCGGAGCTAAGCGGAGGCGGGGCTGGGCGAGGATGTGGCCGTGTGGGGCGAGGACCTGGGAGTTGGTGTCCAACGCCACCCCAGGCTCAGTCTTCCAGGACTTCCCGCCCGGGCTCAGTTTGCCAGCCATCAAGAGGAAATGGATCCTGGCTTTGTTTCTCCAGAATCCTTGAAAGAGGCTGGGGGAAGGGTCGGGACCGTCCCAACCCGCATCTCATTCCTCAGCCTAGGCTGGACCCCTTCCCTAAACCAGCGGCTTTTCACCCCGCCCTCCACAAGCCCACCAGGGGCTTCCCTGGGGTGAAATTAGGCTGCTTCCCGGGAATTTCCTCCCCCATGCTGTCCACGGCCACTAGGGACCACAAGGCCTAGGGAGCTCTGCCTACTTCCAAGGTCCTATTCCCAAGGCTGTGCTCAACAGTGACGCTTCTATTTTATTATCAGTTATTGCTGTTAATCTCTTACTGTGCCTAATAAATTAAACTTTATCGTAGGTATGTACGTATGTATAGGAAAAATGAAGTGTGTGTATATATATAGTATATATATATGTGTGTGTATGTAAAATGGGGTGCAGTACTATCCGAGGTTTCAGGCATCCACTGTGGGTCTTGGGACACACCACCTGTGTGTGGACGAGAGGGGACTCCTGTAACCTTGCAGTGACCAATCCGTTTTTCGTTCCCTGTTGCTGCTTTCTTTAGCCCTTTTCTACCTATAAAGCCCACCTCCTCTGCCCAGCTCGTTGGAGCACCGTTTCTAAATTTTCAGAGAAGATGCCATCCTGATTCATGAATCAATAAAAACCAATAGATCTTTAATCTAAATTTGTGGTAATTTTGACTTCTGACAAAGGGATATTAATAACTGTATAACCGCACCAGACCAATCTGATTCGCCTTTTATATACCCAAGTTGTGAGTTGTTTTTCAGTTGCATGGACTCCCAGATGGAAGGTTTCGCACGTAACCTGAGGATGCCCAGGTGAACCAAGCATGCAACCAGGGGCGGAACCTGAGTGCTCAGATCAAAGCAGGGACTGAATTAAGAAATGGGCACTGCATGGTGAGATCCAGAATGCAATCAGATCAAGCCCTGGTGTCACCCCATGGCAGGGTCCAGTCAGATGAGCATCCCAGCATCACCTCATCGCAAAATCTAATCCGATCATGCGTCATTACCCTATGCTTATAAAACCCAACCCAGCCCCAAGCTCAAGGAGACAGAGCTGAGGGTTTCCTCATGTCTCCTTGACAGTCAACTCACAATAAAGCCTTTCTTTTCTCAAAAGCCCGTGCCATGGTGTTGGCTTCTAGCACATCAGGAAAAAGCCCGTTGATTGCTCAGTAGCAATTGCAGCAAGGTAGAAGGACAACAGAAACTGTTCTGACATTTTTTTCTGAGGGCTTTCTCTGAGATGAGTAACAAAGATAGTTTCACTTTTACATTTACGTAGTAGACCATCAGGAAATTGAATGTCCACGCTCAGGTGTGATGGAGCAGCTTGCAGTAGACCAAGGCTCCCACTAACAACAACTAGAAAAGCCAGAAAGCGAAGTCAGAAAACATCTGTTTGAAGGCAGTGAAAGCTGCTGAGGCAAGAATGGGGGGACTTGATATTCCAGAGAATGAGGAACCTTCAAGGGGTGAGCTAATGTCTGCAGTGGCTTGTATTGGTGTGTGAGGGCTTTTGCCAGTTCTGGATACAAGCATGAGGCTGAGAATTTAGACTTTGAGACCACAGAGGGCCACTGCTGGGGACACAAAACCAACACAGCGATGTAGGGGGAAATTCCAAGGACAATTGCTGAATTCAAGGCTTGTATGGGGCAAGAAACTGAAATGTAAATGGAAGGCCTCTGAAAGCAGAAGTTTTTGATAGACTTGCAAAACAAAGATTCGAGTCTGAGATCTGCTAGGGTGGTGGTGGAAGTGGGTTACTGCAGAGCCTACACCATGTTCCCAGTTGGAAACTGGAGGGCAACGGTAGCTTGAACCCTACCAGAACCTCAGCCCAGCCTTCACTCCATGCAGTCCCTGATTGGATTAAGGTTATTGGCCACTCCTGTCTTTGGTTTTGTGGAGGAAAGGGAAAAACCCTCCTGAGAGAATGATAACATTTGAAGCCTCTACAACTTTTTAGAAGCTATATTTGGCATCTCATTAAAAAGTTACTAGATAAAAAAAGAAAAAGACAATAGAAACAGACCCACAGATGAGTCAGATATTGGAGTTGCCTGATTAAAATAACTCTGATGAACATTTTCAAGAAAACAGAAAAAAAGATGAAAATTTTCACCTGAGTATTGAAATCTATAAAAATAAATCAAATGAAAACTCTAGAGGTGAAAAGTGTAATAAATGAGGCTGTGAACTCTGGATGTTAGACAAAACTAAAGACACGATTAGTGAACTGCAGGCACATCAATAGAAAATATCCAAACTGAAGCATAGAAGGAAAGAATGGAAAATACAGAAACAAGCATTAGAGACACATGGGACATGATGAAAAGTTCTACCAGGTATTCAGGTTTCTAGAAAAAGAGAGAAAGGGGCAGAAACAATATTTGAAAAGATAATAACCAAGAGTCCAAGTTTCGCAAAACTGATGAAAGACATCAAATTACAAATTCTGTAAGTTCTATGACTCCTAAGCAGGATAAATACAAAATCAGCCACACCCAGTGCATTCTAGTAGAACCATTGAAAACCAAGGAAAAAGATAAAATCTTAAAAGGTGCCAGGGCCAGGTACGGTGGCTCACGCTAGTAATCCCAGCACTTTGGGAGGCTGAGGCAGGTGGATCACCTGAGGTCAGGAGTTCGAGATGAGTTTGACGAATACGATGAAACCCCGTCTCTACTAAAAATACAAAACTTAGCTGGCTGTGGTGGAGGGCGCCTGTCATCCCAGCTACTTGGAAGGCCGAGGCAGGAGAATCGCTGGAACCTGGGAGATGCAGGTTGCAGTGAGCAAAGATTGCACCATTGCACTCCAGCCTGGGCAACAGATTGAGACTCCATCTCAAAAAAAAAAAAATTAATTTAATTTAATTAAACAAAAAAAAGGTGCCGGGGAAAAGATGCATTGCCTTTTAAGATTGTCAGCTGACTTCAGAAACAATAAATCCAGAAGACAATGGAATGGCATCTTTAATGTGCTAAAAGAAAATACACATGTTTAGTTCAACGTTCCTTAATATTTTAGGCAATAAGATTTATTGAGAACACAGAAATGGTGCAGACTTGTGCTTTTATCTTTGTCATGCATATGTGATGTCTTCTGGAATTAAGTTTAAAAAAGCAAAAGAAGTAAGTTATTCTGGCCTCCCATGGAGGTTTCTCAGATGGTAAGCCTACAGTGATGAGTAGCCACCTTCTTACTTCCAAGGTCACCTTAGTTTTTATTCACCCTTAAACTTAAAGTCACATGACTAATATTGTATATCGAATTCTTTTTAACATTAAAAGGGGTTAAAAAACAAACACGGATAAAACACAAACAGATGATCCTGAACTTAATTCAGTAGTACTAATACCACGGATTTATTTATTTATCATCTCTCTCCTTATTTTTTTATCTTGTTAGAGTAAGTGTATCACCTACCCAACTTTTTTTTTTTTTTTTGAGGCGGAGTCTTGCTCTGTCACCCAGGCTGGAGTGCAGTGGCACAATCTCAGCTCACTGCAAGCTCCGCCTTCCGGGTTCACGCCAATCTCCTGCCTCAGCCTCCCAAGTTGCTGGTACTACAGGCACCCACCACCATGCCCGGCTAATTTTTTGTATTTTTAGTAGAGGCGGGGTTTCACCATGTTAGCCAGGATGGTCTCGATCTCCTGACCTCGTCATCTGCCCGCCTTGGCCTCCCAAAGTGCTGGGATTACAGGTGTGAGCCACCGCGCCCAGCTGCACCTACCCAACTATTGAGACAAATGAACCTGGGTTAAAAAATTTGGACCAGAATATGTCAGAGATTCAAAACCAGAACACAAAATTTGAGGACTGATTACATGCTTCCAGAATGATTCTACCTGAATCACAGGTGAGAAGGCCAAGCCCTTTCTCACAGTGACTATGGCAACAGGAATTCATGACCTCCACTGAAATAAGGCATCCTAGCCCATGTTTCCTAGGAATCAGAGTAATCCTCCTATGCAATGACCTTGTAACTTCTTTTAGCTTCTATCATCTGTTTGGGTGATTGAAATTCTGGATTCCCAATCAGATGTGAACAACTTTTCCTCACCACTAACTTGATTTCTCTTTCTTCCATGTTCTTCATATCCAACTAAGATGCTGAATAAAATTACTATGTCTCCAAACAGCATGTTAAAAAATTATTTATGGGCTAGGAGCGGTGGCTCACGCCTGTAATCCCAGCACTTTGGGAGGCCAAGGTGGGCAGATCACGAGGTCAAGAGATTGAGACCATCCTGGCTAACATGGTGAAACCCTGTCTCTATTAAAATACAAAAATTAGCTGGGCGTGGTGGCGCATGCCTGTAGTCCCAGCTACTTGGGAGGCTGAGGCAGGAGAATCACTTGAACCCGGAGGCGGAGCTTGCAGTGAGCTGAGATTGCGCCACTGCACTCCAGCCTAGTGACAGAGCGAAAATCCATCTCAAATATATATAATTTATGACACTTGTTAAAGAAGGCCATTCAAAGAGGCCATGACAATATGTATAGGGACCCCTGCAACAGGTCTTGCAGTGGGGGAGAGAGACTGGACTCAACTCCAAGTCCAATTAGGACATGTGGGAATTTATAATCAAGGAACAAGAGGGGCAGAAGGGGGGGTCAGTGGATGAAAAATCAAAAGAAATATCAAGGAGAAGGGGCTTCTGGCTAAAATGACTTGATACTATTGTTGCTGAAGGCAGGCCAGGGTGACCAGATAAAAGATAAAAGGATCAGATACAAAAGATGAGGGCCTTCTCTCAACTGACTTGGCAAAGTTCTTGCTCTAACTGGATTCTACAAGAAGAGAGAGGAGCCCAAGGCTGCGCCTAATCAGAAAGGACTCAGGAGACTGACTAAAGTTTGGTCAGAAGAGAGAGCCTTTGTCAAGGATTCCTAGTAAAATAGAAAACCCACCAGACTGAAAGTGTGAGTCATCGTTCAAATTCCCCAAAAACTCCAGTCGATAACCAGTCCCCAGAAATTCCCATTTATAAATAGGAAAGTCAAGAATTAACTTGTTTTCTTTTTAAATCCACTTCCCCATGTACAAAAGAATTAGTTTACCACACAACTTAATCCAAAGCATATACGGTCATCCCTTCGTATCTGTGGGAGTCTGTTCCAGAACCACCTACAGATACCAAAATCCTCAAACGCTCAAGTCTCTGATATGTAAGGGCGTAATATTTGCATAGAACCTATGCACATCCTCCTTGTGCTTTAAGTCACTTCCAGATCACTCATAATACCTAATACGATGCCTACACACCACGTCGTTCGTGTGGATTCAGCACAGTACTCAGCATGCCGCTAATTCCAGTTTTGCTTTTGGGAACTTTATAGAATTTTTTTTTCCTGGATATTTTCCATCTGCAATTGGCTGAATCCATGGATGCAGAAGACACAGACATGGAAGGCTGACCGTATCATTCTGATCAAAGCAACTATCAATAAAGAGGAGCTGCCAAAACTACCTGTTACTTTTCACTCTTCTAACAGGAATCGATAATACTCAGCATTAAATTTTGCTATCGTGCAGAGGGTGTTTAAGGAGTTTCTGATTTTACTCCAACAGAAGTAAAGTTGGTTAAGTAGAAGTTCCTTGATTCTTTATCACCACAATACCCATGCCAGGCTCTTGGCCACTGCCTGAGAGTCAGGAAAACCACACACACAGGGGCTTTGACCACCCTTCAATTCTTCCACTGCTGCTAGGAAAATAGCATGGGATTCAGCCCACAGAGCTGCCCATGTTTTCACCTTCTTGGATCAGAATGGCATCTTTCCAAATAGGATGTTGTTCATTCACCTTGGAACTGCCATCCACAAACCTGCCAGCTTTTTCTTGGTCAACTGAGATGAGTCCCTTTGACTCTCCCTTTTGCCTTTCCCCAGTCTCTTATTAATTAACCTAATGTTTTTTATCAGCATCTGTAAGACCCATGAGGGGAAGCCAAGAGAGCAATTTGGATAAAACTTCCTAAACTGTCTTTTGGTTTTCATCAATAAAGTTATATGGAGCATCCACATTAAAAGGGGCCCCTTAACCACAGCATTTACCATGACCTGAGTAATGGGCCTCTTCAGCAAGTGAACATCCCAGTCATCAAAAAGCCAGTTCCACATCACACGCATATGAAGCATATGAGCTGCTTCATCCGGGGTGTTTCACTTGGCATTTATAGGACCTGTAATCTCCAGACAAAATCAATTCACTGAGACAGCGGCACTGCAGTAAAGAAAGAGATTTATCGATGCAAGGCCAGCCATGCCACCTGGAGAGACAGAGTGATCACTCAGATTAGTCTCCCTGAAGGTTTAGAGGTTAGGGGTTTTCAAGGATAGTTTGGTGGGCAAGGGGCTAGGAAATGGATGCTGCTGATTGCTGGGGGATACAATCATTGGGGCATGCTGAGCCCACCTTTGGGTGGGGCCACAGGACAGGCTGGGTCATGAGTCACAAGTCCACTTCTGGGTGAGGTTAGTCAATTGCTAGAATGCAAAAGTCTGAAAAATATCTCAAAAGACCAATCTGAGGTTCTATAATAGTGATGTTAGCTATAGGAGTAATTGGGGAAGTTACAAATCATGTGACCTGAGAACAATGCCTGGCTATCGTTTAACTATGCCTACATCTTAGCAGAATTCAAGCCCATCTCATAAACCTAACCTGGTAGTCTTTCATTAGTTTTAGAAAGGTGGCTTAATTTTGGAAAGGCCCATTATCATCCTTGCTTTAAGGTTAAACTGTAAACTAAATTCTTCCCAAAATTAGCTTGGCCTACACCCAGGAATGACTGAGGACAGCTTGGAAGTCAGAAGCAAGATGGAGTCAACTACGTCAGATTTCTCTTACTCTTATAATTTTGCAAAGGTGGTTTTAGGGAGAATCGAACAATTCCTCTTTACAGGGTAAGCAGAACTTACAGTGGCTTTTATCCAGTCCAGCAAGCTGTATTCCATTGGGAATAACCTGCTGTGTGTCTGCATCCCATACAACCATCTGTGATTGTTCTATAGTGAGCTGTGGGTTCGGCATCAACTCAAAATGCTCTTCCACCCGGCATCATTGAAAACTAAAGAAAGTGCCCCCAAATTAGTTACTCTCACAATCCATTTTAGTAAATGTTCTTCAGGAAGCCGGTGATGCCAATCCACAACACGAAGCAATTCCTCCACACTATACCTTCTGGTTTCAGTAGTTTCTTGGTTTTGCTTTTCCCCCACATTGACTACCTTAGTAACCACAGGCCTTAGAGGTACTTTCGGTTGTCCCTGAATAATTTTCCCTTTGGAAGTAGCTTTGAGGCTGGTGGCCAGACCTCAGACTCAACTAAAATGTGAGCTTGATTTAGTATCAAGGTCCCCGCCAGCACTCTCTTTTAATTTCATTTTAGCTGTTTCAGATAATAATTACCTAGGAAATGAGTATTTGTCATTTTCTTATTAGCTTGCATTTTTTTCTCCCCCCTTTCCTCTGTCTCTTTCTTTTCTTTTTTCTTTTCTTTTTTTTTTTTGAAACGGAGTCTCACTCTGTCACCAGGCTGGAGTGCAGTGGCGTGATCTTGGTTCACTGAAACCTCTGCCTCTTGGGCTCAAGCGATTCTCCTGCCTCAGCCTCCTGAGTAGGTGGGACTACAGGTGCCCGCCACCACACCTGGCTAATTTTTTGTAGTTTTAGTAGAGACGGGGTCTCACCATGTTAGCCAGGATGGTGTCGATCTCCTGACCTCATGATCCGCCCGCCTCGGCCTCCCAAAGTGCTGGGATTACAGGCATGAGCCACTACGCCCGGCCTCTTTTCTTTTTTCTTTCCGGACAAGGTCTCACTCTGTTGCCCAGGCTGGAGTGCAGTGCCATGAGCATGGCTCACTGCGGCCTTGAACTCCTGGACTCCAGAGGTCCTCTCACCTCAGACTCCCTAGTAGCTGGAACTACAAGTGCATGCCACCATGCCTGACTAGCTTGCATTTCTTTATGCTCCCAGTGAACCAACTCCCTGGAAGTTAGATCCATCCCTGTGTTTTGCTAACTTTTATCTTTGGTAGCTTATTGCAGCACAGCTGCTACTCCACGCTTATGGAGCCATCCAGGAATCAAAGCTTCCTCATCCCCCACCCTTTTATCCTTTTTCTTCCCAAACCACATGTTTCTGTGAACACCAAGTCCTATTTTTGACACCAATTCTGAGAATATAGGGAAAAAACAAATTCAGTTTCTCCTAGAGCCTCTCTCAACAATCAACACAGAAGACGTCTGTGACCACACCAATCAAGCAGTCAGTTCTGCAGGAGACACCAGTTGGCTGTCCCCTAATTCATTCAATTCTTGCACTTATCTACCTGGAGATGGCATCAGATCCCACGAGTTGAGGGCTCAGACTCCAAGACTGCCCCCATCATTTATAATGCCAGTTCACAAGCCCCAGGTTGTTTTACCTGTGCTTCTGACCAAGCGGCTCTAAACTGAGGTTCCCACAACCCCCTCCTTAGGTTTAATTATTTTGCTAGAGCATCTCACAGAACTCAGGGAGACACACACTTACATTTGCTGATTTATTATAAAGGATATTACATGGATACTGATGAACACCAGACGACCAGATGGATTGGATAAGAAATGTGGGAAGGGGTGCAGTGCTTCCTTGACCTCTCTGGGCCCTCCACCCTTCAGGAACCTTCATGTGTTCAGCTATCTGGACACTCTGAACCTGGTTCTGTTGGGTTTTTAGAGAAACTGCATTACACAGTCATGATTGATTAAATCGTTGGCCTTTGGTGATCAACTTCGCCTCCAGTCCTGTTGCCTTCCCCCAAGACTGGGGAAGTGGGGCTGTAAAGTCTCAACTTTTTAATTAGGCCTTGGTGTTTCCTGTGACCAGCCCTATCCTGATGCTACTAGGAGCTGCCAGCCATCAGCCAACTCATTACCATAAAAATACATCACTTTGGAGATTCCAAGGATTTTAGGAGTTGTATACCAGGAAATGGGGACAAAGACCAAATATGTATTTCACAATATCACACCATAGCAACAAAAACAAACAAATCAGGAAGAATTCTTCATCTCAAGCCAGGCGCAGTGGCTCAAGCCTATAATCCCAGCACTTTGGGAGGCCGAGGCAGGCGGATCACGAGGTCAGGAGATCGAGACCATCCTGGCTAACACGGTGAAACCCCGTCTCTACTAAAAATACAAAAAAATAGCCGGGTGTGGTGGCAGGCGCCTGTAGTCCCAGCTACTCGGGAGGCTGAGGCAGTAGAATGGCGTGAACCCGGGAGGCAAAGTTTGCAGTGAGCCGAGATCGTGCCACTGCACTCCAGCCTGGGTGACAGAGTGAGACTCTGTCTCAAAAAAAAAAAAAAAAAAAAAAATTTGCTATTGGAGCCATTACATTTCAGTTTTGGGAATAAGATAAAGGAGGCAAGATAATAAAATATAGCCAGAACAGTAAAAGCTGAATTATTGGGTCAGGAGTATGTACATTGTGATTTTTTTCTTCTTTTTTTGGAGACGGAGTCTAGCACTTGTCCCCCAGGCTGGAGGGCAATGGTGTGATCTCGGCTCACTGCAACCTCTGCCTCCCAGGTTCAAGCAATTTCCTGCCTCAGCCTCCCAATTAGCTAGGACTACAGGCACCCACCACCATGCCTGGCTAATTTTTGTATTTTTAGTAGAGATGGAGTTTCACCATGTTGGCCAGGCTGGTCTTGAACTCCTGACCTCAAGTGATCCGCCTGCCTCAGTCTCCTAAAGTGCTGGGATTACAGGCATGAGCCACCATGCTCGGCCTACATTGTGATTTTGATAGATATTGCCCTTCAAGGAAATGTACCAATTTAACCTCCTACAAGTAATGCGTGAGGGTGCTTTTTCCATATTTCCTTGTCATTACAGCATGTTATCAAATTTTTTCCAGCTTGATAAGTAAAAAGTAGTATCTTGGTGTAGTTTTAATTTATATTTATCTCCTTATGAGTGAAGTTAAGTAATTTTTCATGTTTATGAATTATTTCTATTTCCTTTTCAGTGAATCATATTTTCTTAGTCTTTGCCCAGTTTTCTATTTTGTTTTTGTCTTATTGAATTATAAGAGCTCTTTACATATTAAAGAGATTTATCTATAATGTAAGTTGGCAATATTTCCCCCCATTTTGCCATTTGTCTTTTGCCTTTGCTTATAATTTTTAAACACGGATTTTTCAAAATGTAAAATTTATCTTTTGTTTTGTTTTACGGCTTCTGGATATTGTCTAAGTTAAAAAAAAAAGTCTTTCTTCTCTTCTTCTAGAATATTTGTGGTGAAGCGGCATAGTTGTCTGTGGTAAATACCTGGGATTCATCGTCTCACATCAAGAAGATTGAGGACACGGACACACACAAGGAGTGAGTATAGGAGCAGAGGTTTAACAGGCAAAAGAAAGAAAAAGCCCCTCTCTCTCCCTGGAGAGAAAGAGAGGCTCCTGAAAGGAAAAAACCAGCCTGTGGCGTATAACACCAGATTTTATAGGCAGGCTTGAGGAGTGGTGTCTGATTTATATAGAGCCCACAGATTGGTTCAACAAGGTGTGACAATTACATAGCATGCGGGGAAGGCTGGTTGTCCCACCCTAATCTTATTATGCAAATGGAGTCTTTGCCTGGCCAGCTCCATATTGTCTTCTCCTTGCTGTACACGTGGTTTGGCAAAGACAGGGAAAGATGGAACTGTCATTTTGAACATGCCTAGTCCCAGGTACCTTTTCCCTATTGGCACAACTGCCAGCATTCACCTGTGCAAGCTTCCAGCTTACTTGTCTATGTCTGCAGCTCAATTTTCCAGGCCGCTCTTTGTTAGAAAAGAAAATGATTTTAGGGCTGTTTTTCATTAAAAGGAAAACCTTACTGAGGACTCCCATACCCTCACTATCTGCCTGAATAATGTCTTCTTAACTCCCCTATCAGTGGTTTCATTTTTTACACTACAATCTTTGATTCATCTGGAATTCATCCTGGTGAACTGTGTGAGATATGGATCAAACTTTGCTTTTACCCAGATAGTTATTCAGTTGTCTCTCTGCTATTTGCTGCTGTAGTTGTTTTGAGAAAGAATCTCACTCTGTTGCCCAGACAAGAGTGCAGTGGCACAATCATAGCTCACTGCAACCTCTGCCTGCTGGGCTTAAGCAATCCTTCTATTTCAGCCTCCTGAGTAGCTGGGACTATAGGTGTATACCACCACACCTGGCTTTTTTTTTTTTTTTTTTTTTTTTTTTTGAGATGGAGTCTCACTCTGTCACCCAGGCTGGAGTGCAGTGGTGTGATCTCGGCTCACTGCAACCTCTGCCTTCCGAGTTCAAGCGATTCTCGTGCTTCAGCCTCCTGAGTATCTGGGACTACAGGCATGCCTGACCGTGCCTGGCTAATTTTTGTATTTTTAGTAGAGATGAGGTTTCACCATGTTGGCCAGGCTGGTTTCAAACTCCTGACCTCAAGTGATCCACCCGCCTCAGCCTCCCAAAGTGCTGGGATTACAGGTGTGAGTCACCACTCCCAGCTGATTTTTGTATTTTTTGTAGAGATGGGGTTTCACCATGGTGCCCAGACTGGTCTCAAACTCATAAGCTCAAGTCATCTTCCCACTTTGGCCTCCCAAAGTGCTGGGATTACAAGCATGAGCCACTGCACCCAGCCTACACTCTTTATCAAATAGACCAACTTTTCTCCATTGATTTAAGATGCCACCTTTATCATATACCAAATGTCCTGCATGCATCATAACCCTCCCTATCCCAGGATTAAGAATGAATGCAAATTGTTCCATTAGAAAAAGTGAAGGCTGGGTGTGGTGGATCACACCTGTAATCCCAGCACTTTGGGAGGCCAAGGCTGGCAGATCACTGAGGTCAGGAGTTTGAGACCAGTCTAGCCAACATGGTGAAACCCCATCTCTACTAAAAATACAAAAATTAGCCAGGCATGGTGGCATGCTCCTGTAATCCTAGCTACTCAGGAGGCTGAGGCAGGAGAACCGCTTGAACCCAGGAGACAGAGGTTGCAGTGAGCCGAGATCACGCCACTGCACTCCAGCCTGGGCAACAGAAGGAGACTCTGTCTCAAAACAATAAATAAATAAAAATAGAAACAAAAACTTACAAGTCCATAAAACAGTGATTACCCTTATTACATGCAGTACACTCTGATTATTTTTATTCAATTACATCTTCTTTAAAAAATGCTACTTGACAACTGTCTTAGTCTGTTTACCACAGACTAGATAATTTATAACATACCATAGAGTGGGTAATTTGTAGAGAAAAGAGATTGATTTGGTTCATGTTTCTAGAGCCTAAGAAGTCTAAGAAATACCACCAGCATCTTCTCGGCACCTGGCAAGGGCCTTCATGCTGTGTCGTCCCATGACGGAGGGTGGAAGGGCAAGTGAGTGCGAGAGAGAAGGAGTGGGCTGAACTCACTCTTATAACAACCTACTCTTGCAATAACAAACCCACTCCCGCAACAATGACGTTAACTCATTGATGAGAGTAGAGCCCTCGTGGCCTAATCACCTGGTAACAGTCCCACTCTCTATATTGTTACAATGGCAATGGCATTTCAACACGAGTTTTGGAGGGGTCATTTAACCATAGTAAGAACCACCCCACCGATTTCAAGTCTGCGAGTAAATGGTTAACGCAACCCTTTCTCCTTCTGCATAAGAATGTAACCATTGTTTAACTTTCTAGACCTTTCCTTTTGAAACCTGATGAAGGTAGAATGTGAGCTTTGTTATTAAGGGACATTGTTTATGATTCAATAACCCCTGGCTGATAAATTGCACCTGGGCTAGGAGGAACTATAAGTATATTATAGAGACCTAATGGGGACTCCACACATCAGATGTCCCTGCATGTACTAACTTTTACAATTAAGTATGTACTGCGCAGATACTAGGAAGCTATGGTATTCTTACAAGAGCTATGCCTGTGTAGGTCATGAGACTTCCAAGTCAGGACGGCTCTTGAACCCATCTGATGTGAGTCTCATTTCCTTGAACCTGTGCCACATCACCTGGGGTGCAGGATACAGGAGAACACCTGGAGGACAGTGTGGATGTCTCCATAGACTGCTGTAATGATTGCTACTGTGGAAGAATACTCCACACTGCCCTGTGGTCTGTTTCAGGAAATTTGGGCTGCTATAACAAAAATACCTTAAACTGAGGAATTTATAAACAACAGGAACATATTTATCACAGTTCTGGAAGCTGAGAAGTATAAGATCAAGGCATTGGCAGATTTGTTGTCTGGTGAGGGCCCACTTCCTAATTCACAGATCGCGTCTTCTCTCTGAGTCTTCATGTGATGGAAGGGGTGAGAGGTCTCTCTGTGGCCTCTTTTATAAGGGCACTAATCGCATTCATGAGAGCTCTGCCTAGTCTCTCCCAAAGGCCCTACCTCCCAGCATCATCACCTTGGGGGTTAGGCTTCAACATATGAATTTTGGGAGAACTCAAACATTCAGACCATGTCACTGTCCCATATCCTTCTACGTGAATTTAATGCCATATATGGCTATGACAGTCTTGTGAGTCAGACTGTTTAGCTGACCCACTTGTTAACATCAGAAGACACCTTGGAGGATGTCCAAAGCCTAATAGTCCATGACCTATGGTTAGAAAAACACTGTCTGGCTAAATGTGTATATATGAGGGGCCTACAAAAAGTTCATGGACAATGTATTATTACAAAAAAAGCTATACATAAATTTCAAAAATTTTTTGCACCAAAATAAACTTGCACTAACTTGTTATAACATATCTGAACAGGATCTAGTTTGAGGCACTAAGAAGGATAAGACATCAGTTTTAAAAGAGACCCTATCAGGGCAACATTAATTCTGCTAAAATTGAAGCAAGAACAAACATCAAGTTTGTAGTGAAGCTTGGGTGGAAGAATGGTGAAATCATTGAACCTTTACAAAAAGTTTATGGCAACAATGGGAAAATCAACAGTTTACAAATGGATAACTCATTTTAAGAAGGTACCAAATGATACTGAAGATGAAGCCTGCAGTGGCAGACCATCCACTTTAATTTATGAGGATAACGTTCATCTTGTTTGTGCCCTAATTGAAGGGGACCAACAATAACAGCAGAAACAACAGCCGTGGGCATCTCAATTGATTCAGCTTACACAATCCTGATGGAAAAATCAAAGTTGAGCAAACTTTCCACTCAATCAGTGCCAAAACTATTGCAACCAGATCAGCTACAGACAAGAGCAGAGCTTTCAATGGAAATTTTAAACAATTAGGATCAAGATTCTGAAGCATTTCTTTGAATGATGGTAACAGGAGATGAAACATGCCTTTGCCAGTACAATCCTGAAGACAAAGCACAATCAAAGCAGTGGCTACCAAGAGGTGAAAGTGGTCCAGTCACAGCAAAAGCAGACTGGTCAAGAGCAAATGTCATGGCAACAGTTTTTTTGGATGCTCAAGGCATTTTGCTTGTTGACTTTTTGGAAAGCCAAAGAACAATATCATTTTATTATGAGTGTATTTTGAAAAAGTTAGCCAAAGCTTTAGTAAAAAAGCACCCAGGAAACCTTCACCAGAGTCCTTCCTCACCACGACAATGCTCCTGCTCCTTCCTCTTATTAAACAAGGGCAATTTTGTGGAGTTTCTGTGAGAGATCATTAGGCATTCACCTTACAGAACTGATTTGGCTCCTTCTGACTTCGTTTTGTTTCCTAATGTTTAGGAAGATCTTTAAGATCTTTAAAGGACACCCATCTTTCTTCATTTAATAATGTGAAAAAGACTGCATTGACATGGTTAGATTCCCAGGACCCTCAGTTCTTAACGATGGAATGAATGGCTTACAAAAGTGTCTTACAAAAGTGTCTTGAATTTGATGGAGCTGATATTGAGAAATAAAGTTTATTTTAAAAATTTTTATCTTTTAATTCCATTTTTCCAGGAACTTTTTGAAGTCCCCTCATATACATAGAAGCTATAGTGTTAGAGTACAAGACATGCAGTTTTTAGATTTTCTACATACTACTGTCAAAGAACAAAATTACAACACATTTAAAAATTGTATTGGGTTTATTGCAATTCTAGAATCAGGCAACACTTCATTCCATAAAATAGAATAAATCTTCTAATGAGTTGAGCAGAAGATGTTATAGGCAGAGAAGAGGTTGTAGGCAGAGAAGAGCTGCAGAAAGCAGAAGCAAAGAACAAATAGTGTATTCGTTGTTTCAAAGCTACTTTTCCTATAAGGCAGGGACAGGGAGACAGATCAGAGAAAATAGCTGATTAGTTAACATCAGGTTACTTCAGGCTACTTCTCCTGCATAAAGATTGAGGCAGAGGGAATTACATTATCATGCCAATTGAAGATTAAGCTGGTTTGCGAAGATCAGATAACAACTGAGTTTGGGTTTCGTGACTCAATTTTTATTTTTTTGGTTTGGTGACTCCATTTTGATTGATTTTTAGTCTGTCCTGTTGGGGCCTAGTGCAGAGCTTAGTCAAAAACAATTACTTCCTGTCGGGTGTGATGGCTCATGCCCATAATCCCAGCAGTTTGGGAGGTCGAGGCAGGCAGATCACTTGAGATCAGGAGTTCAAGACCAGCTTGACCAACATGGTGAAACCCCGTCTCTACTAAAAATACAAAAATTAGCCAGGTGTGGTGGTGCATCCCTGTAATCCCAGCTACTCAGGAGGCTGAAGCAGGAGAATCACTTGAACCCAGGTGACAGAATTTGCAGTGAGCCAAGATCATGCCACTGCACACCAGCCTGGATGACAGAGTAAGACTTCATTAAAAAACAAAAATTACCTCATATAACTTTGATTTAATTCTACCTTATAATTATTCAAAGTATATTAAATTATACTTTCAACTGCACTGTTATAAGAATTTCCATTTCCCCAAATCCTCACCAACACTTAAAATGATCAATGTTTAATTTTTCCCATAATCTCTGGCTCTGAAATAAGTTGACTTGTTCTAAAGGAATTTGGAAACCTTTTCTCCAGGGAATTGGATTTCCAGGGAATAGGATTTTTTAAAAATCTCTTTGCCTTCCTTCCATCCTCCAATTTGTTCCTCAAAATGACCTCATGTGCCTTACATGGTAGACAATAAATAGAAGTTGTTGAATTGAAAATGTAAGCTTTATTTGCTGGAATGTGAGTAAACCAATTTATCTGAACTGTAAAATTTTTTGTAGAAGAGGAACAGTAGGCAAGATGAATTAAGTAAGAGATTTCAGTTATACATAGCTTTGGCTGAGGTAAGAAGAATGAAAATACATATAGATGCAATGCAATCTCTATCAAAATACCAGCTGCCTTTTTCAGAGAAATTGACAGGCTGATCCTAAAATCCATATGGAAATGCAACAGACTCAGAATAGTCAGAACAATCTTGTAAAGGAACAAAGAACAAAAGAATCTTGAAAAAGGACACTTCCCAAGTTCAAAATTTACTGCAAAGCTACATTAATCAATACAGTACCAGACTGGTGTTAGAATAGGGATACAGAGAAATGGAAGAGAATTGAAATAAACCTTCACATTTATGGTCAATTGATTTTCAACAAAGTTGCCAACACAGTTCAATAAAGGAAAGAACCATCTTTCCAACAAATGGTTCTGGGCTACCTGGATAGCCATATGCAAAAGATTGAAGTTGAACCCTACCTCATATCATATATAAAAAATTAACTCAAGATGGATTATAGAACTAAATAAAAGAGTTAAAACTATAAAACTCTTAGAAGAAAACAAATGAGTAAATCTTCATGATCTTGGGTAAGGAAATAGTTTCTTAGCTACGGCACCAAAAGTACAAATGACAAAAGAAAAATTAGGCAAGTTGGACTTTATCAAAATTTAAAACTTTTGTGCTTCTAAAGACATCATCAAGAAAATGAGAACACAGGCTGCATGCTGTGGCTCATGCCTGTGATTCCAACACTTTGAGAGGCTGAGGTGAGAGGATCACTTGAGCCCAGGAGTTTGAGACGAGCTTGAGCAACATAGTGAGATCCCATCTCTACAAAAAAATACAAAAATTAGCCAGCTGTGGTGGTGTATGCCTGTACTCCCAGCTACCTTGGAGGCTGAAGTGGGAGGATTGCTTAAACCCAGGAGGTTGAGGCTGCTGTGAGCCATGATTATGCCACTGCACTCCAGCCTAGGCACAGAGCAAGACCCTGTCTCAAAAAAAAATGTGAAGACAATTCGCTCTATGGGAAAAAATATTTGCAAATCATGTATCTTAGCAGGGACTTAGATCCAGAATATACAAAGAACTCTAAAGATCAAATAGGCTGGGTGCAGTGGCTCATGCCTGTAATCCCAGCACTTTGGGAGGCTGAGGCAGGTGGATCACCTGAGGTCAGGAGTTCGAGACCAGCCTGGGCAACATAGTGCAACCCCGTCTCTACTAATAATACAAAAATTAGCTAGGTGTGGTGGGATGCACCTGTAATCCCAGCTGCTCAGGAGGCTGAAGTAGGAGAATTGCTTGAACCTGGGAAGTGGAGGTTGCAGTGAGTTTAGATCGTGCCATTGCACTCCAGCCTGGTCGACAAGAGTGAAACTCCATCTCAAAAATAAAAATGAAGATCAAATAATAAAAAGACAACCCAACTTTTTTAATATTCAAAGGATCTGAATAGACATTTCTCTATAGAAGACAATGGCCAACAAGCACATAAAAAGATGCTCAACATCATTAGCCATTAAGAAATTGGGAATCAAAATCACAATGAAATAACATTTTGCACTCCTTAGAATGGTCAGAATAAAAAGGAAAGGCGTAGGTGAAAATTTGGAGAAATCAGAATCCTTAAACATTGCTGGTAAGAACAAAATGATACAGCTGCTATGAAAAACAGTTTGGCGTTTCTTCCAAAGGTTAAACTTAGAGTTACCATATGACCCACCAATTCCACTCGTAGTCATATGCCCCAGAGAATTGAAAACTTATGTTCTAACACAAAAACTTATACACTAATGTTCACGGCAGCATTATTCATAATAGTTAAAAAGTGAAAACTATCCAAATGCTCATTAACTGATTAATAGAATGCAATAATATTCCATGTAATGGAATATTACTCCACTGAAATTCCATATAATGGAATATTACTCCATTATTCTTTTCCATACAATGGAATATTGTTTGGCAATAAAAAGGTATGAAGTACTGACACATTACAACATGAATTAACCTTTAAAACAGTAGAAGAAGCCAACCAAAAGAGACCACATTTTATATAATTCCATTCTTATGCAATGTTCAGGCTAGGCAAATCCATAGAAACAGAAAGTAGATTAGTGGTGCCAGGGACTGGGGGAGGTAATGGTGAGTGTGGGATGGAAAATTTCTAGATAATTAGTAATATTTTCATTTCTATTGAGTTTGCACAACATATTTTGGAAATAGAATTGGATCTGCTTGAGGGAGCACCTTGTCATTCCCTCAGTAAAGCCTCCTCCTCTTCAGTACACAAGGCCTAGCAATTTTCAAAGAAAGGAGATAAGTTACACTTAATAACTGAAACTCCACTGAACATATGCTGATTAACATGTCCCTTAGAAAGCAGAGGGCACTTCAGACTTCTCCGGTATCCAGGGCCCACTATTATCAGTTGCGTTGCACTGAACCAGTTCCCCTATTCATCCTCTACATGTATCAACCCTGAAGTCCTGACCACGTTTCCATTGCACAGTTCTTGGTGTTTTGCTCTCTCTCTTTTTGCTCTGTCTACAGTCAAATCCAGTTTGTCATTTCACACCTGGGTTCATTCCATAAGCTCTTGATCGTGTATGGGATCCTTGAGGTGTCGCTTTTCTGGTCGGAAACCTGTGGCTCATGGCACCTTTGGCTGAGTTTTGCTCAAGCCCACGGGGCTCTTTCTGCCCACTCGGCCTGACCGGCTGCACTCAGCTCATGCCAGCAGCCTGGATCCCATGCCTCCAAGAAGACTGCAAGTCAGGTGTGGAGCGGCAAGGGGTGTATGAGTGAGTATGGGGTCCGGACACTGCACAGTCAGATATGCTGGCTGCTGCCACAGGATGGGCAGCTCCAGGCGCTGGCATGGGCACTGGCTCTCTGCAAAGCTGCAGCTGGACCAGGGGCCCTGTAAGCAGCTTCCCTGGCTGGCACTGGGGAATGAAGTGGCACCTAGAAGCTTGGAGATGCCAGGAACCACAGGGCCCCAAAGAGGGAGTCACAGGTCTGGGCTCCCTGAAGGTCCGCAGCTCTTCTCTCCTTTTCGCCCACAATGTGGCGAGCAAGGGGCATATTTCAGTCTTGTTTGTGTTAGAGCTCTTTTAGCCCTGCCATACAATGGGTCCTAAGTACTTGTCCTGTGACCAGAAGAATGAGGTACACCAACAAGTGGAGGGTAAGCAAAATGAGAGGAGCTTTATTGAGCAATAGAACAGCCCAGCCTCCCACAGTGGGCAGCTCCTTTCCACAGCCAGGGTGTCCCAATGAGTGTTCAGCTCCTAGCAGAGAGGAGACTCTGGAGTGAGAAGCTCCTCTCTGCAGACAGGTTGTCCCATCGTTTCTGCAGCTCTCAGCAGAGAGGAGGCCCTAGAGTGGGTTGCTCCTCTCTACAGGTAGGTCATCCCATTGTCTTCCCAGCTCTCAGCAGAGAGGAGGCTCTGGAGTAGGTTGCCGCTCTCTGCAGGCAGGTTGTCCTGTCATCTTCCCAGCTCTCAGCAGAGAGAAGGAGTGGGTTACTCCTCTCTGCAGCTGGTCATCCCAACATCTGCTTGAGTCTCAGCAGAGAGGAGGCCCTGGAGTGGGTAGCTCCTCTTTGCAGCTGGTCATCCCAACATCTGCTTGAGTCTCAGCAGAGAGGAGGCCCTGGGGAGGGTAGCTCCTCTCTGCAGCTGGTCGTCCTGACATTTTTCTGCCCTCTGCTCTGCTCTAGCTGAGCCCAGGGCTTTTATGAGCCTCAGAGGGGAGGAAATGCATGCCAATTGGTCCATGGGCGGCCATGAGTGGGCCCAGAAAAGGCACAACAGCCCCCACTCCAGTCCATGGGGACTGGCAGCCCAGTCCCCAGCCTTCAGACCCTCCCTGGCCTGAAGGTGGGGCCTCACTGGAGACCTGCCGCCTTCCACCCAGGAGCCTGTCTGCCCCCTGCTGCTGTCCATGGAGCCCAGGCTGTTCATGCCAAGGGACACCTGCAGGCTAGTACCAAACCTCCCTCAATCCCCACCTTGGCTTCCCCACAGCAATGCTTCTTGGTGCCCAAAGTCCAGAGGGAGCTGAGGCAGCTTGGGGGGCTGGCATGTCAGTGGTGCCCCAAGAACCCCAGCCAGGCTGTGACAGTGCCCGGGCTTGGCCCCACATTGCTCCAAGATTGAAGCAGGTGCTGACAGCAGGTAGAATACAGGCAGTGGGAGCAGGAACTTCTGAGCCTGCAAGGGTCAGAGGGGCCTTCCCAGGCCCCAAGAGCACATGGAGGCCTGGGTCCACAGCCCCAACTTGGGTGGCTGCAGCTGTGCCCAGGAGGGCAGGACTGCTGCCTGCTCCTGGCTCCTGCCAGCTCCTTGAATCCTGGGGCTGGGGATCCAGGTCCTCACTGGGCCCAGGCCAGTGTCTGGAGCAGGGGCAACACTGCCATGAGCTTCCCCTGTTTCTCCGGTGCTCAGAGGAGGCCCAGGGTGGAGTGGATCATGGGCCCCAGGCCTGGCTATCAGGAGCGTCAGGCTCAGCGCTCACCCCAACATGGGGTAGATCCCAGGGAAGCAGCCCCAGGCAGCCCTGCACAGAGCTTCCTCCTAAGGCACAGGAACCCAGCACCTTTGATGGAGTGGGCCAGGTCCCTGAAGTGGGTGCCATTCTCACTTCTTGCCCCAGGCCCCCGAAGTGTGGCCCCAGCTCTGCACACTGGGCCCAGCCCCTATGTTCCATGTGCAAGTACAGCACTGCCCTGGGCCAGCTCCACCTCAAGGGTCCTCTCTGCCCAACTGCGCTGCTCCCCTGCTCAGGAGCAACCTGGCCCAGCCCCATCATGGTGGCCCCTAGGGCAGCAGGCTGCAGGGAGAATGTCTGTTTCCTCCCCAAACCCTCCCTGCAGTGGCCAGCATGATGACAGTGGCCACTCCAGATGGCCTATCACTGCCCTCAATTATATGCCCTGCATCTGGCTTCTCCATGCATCTCATGGCTAAGCTCGTCATCCTGGAATTGACTCTCACAAACTGGGCAAGCAATATCCAGGATCCTACAACCCTACTCTTCAAAATCTCACAAAAGTAGGACTAGTTAATTAGTATAAGTGAAGCTATGCAAAGAACATTTCTTGGGTGGAGGAGGCGATCAGGAAAAATGGATAATAATGATAGGCAGCAAGCAGCTACTGAGCACTTTCCATTTGCAATCTCACTGAATGCTTACAACAATGCACACAGGTAGGGTCATTATTATCTCTGTTGAGGCAGAGCAGAAAGGAACTCACCCAGGTGGCCCACCTCCCTGTTGAAGCAGTGTGTTTAGGACCTGTACCTTCAAGCTCCACATGTGATGGTGCTAGAGCTGGTCCAGGGATGGGCTTTGGGGTTTGGAAAGGATGGGGCCAACAGCCTCATCTGGGCAGACCTTCTGGGGTCAGAGATGTATTTGAAACCAGTCCAATTTTCCCATATAACTGATGTTTTTGGTCTCTTTTAAATAAGCATACAAGTTGACCCTCCCAGTCTTAAAATTTAAGAAAGTTACAGTTGTCTTATCTGAGTTCCTTTCTCAGGAAACCAACCACCAGGCCTCCTGGACAGTGTCAACAAACCAAAACTTACCAGATCCCCACCTCTGGACAATGAGATGCCAGACCTCTAACCTGTCGTGTTTGCCTAACAGACCACCTGCTGCCTGTTGATGGATTCCCCCTTCCTTATCATTTCTTAATTCCTGTTTTCTTGCATGTAGTTACATCTTTTTCCTGCTATATAAATCCCCTATTTCAGTTGGTCAGGGGAATGGATTTGAGACTGATTGCCCATCTCCTCGGCTATAGCACCTAATTAAAGCCTTCTTCTTTGGCAATACCTGTTGTCTCAGTGATTGGCTTTCTGTGCAGTGAGCAGCAGGATGTAGACCAAGCTTGTACAACCCACTTTATTTAGTTGTTGTTGTTGCTGTTGTTGTTCTATTTTGTTTTGTTTTAGGCCTTTAACAGCCTGAAGCCATGGTTTTTAGTTTCTGTCTCCAGGGATGAGGAAGGGGCTTTACTGGCCCAACCAGAAAAAAAACTAAGAACCCATGACTGTATGTTTTCCCTTGGACACCCCTGACCTAGACCAAACCCCTGGCATTTCAGTAACATATTCTGTCACTCTTCCCTTCCCTGTCCACCTACAAAAGGCCTCACTAACCGTCTCTCAAAGCTCTGCCCAGAACCTGTGCTCAACACCTGGGCTGCACCCTCGTTCTTACAACATTCACAAATTGCCCTTATATTTTATGCATACGTGTCTAGTTTCTTCACCTAGACATAAGGACATAGGGACCAGATCATAGGTTTATTTGTGCTGTATAACAATATACTGTAATAAAAGTTATGTGAATGTGCTCCCTCTCTCTCTCAAAATACCTTATATCTTACTCAACTGTACTCACCTGTTTTTAGAATGTGGGTAACTAAAACCTTGGAAAGTGAAACATGGATAAAGGAGAACTACTGTCCTTTCCTTATAGGGTTAAAACCAAGGAAACTTCCTTATCCTGAGAGCTAACCTAGCCCTTTCAGGGATTTAGTTTCATGTCTCTCTTCTGATTTCTTAGAGGGTCAGATAAACAACTTAGTTTGTGTTTGGTGATGTGGAACTTTAGCATGAGTGACTCCATTTTGCTTGTCTGTTGGGGTCTAGCACAGAAGTTCAGTCCAAACTGACGGCCTCCCATAAATTTTTTTTAATGCCCTGCAGTGTCTGAAGGCTAGTCATCAATAACTGAATCATGTTACATTCAGCTCAAGCAATTAAGGTGGTGGTCAGGTGCATTTAGCAAAACCTAACAACTATCATTTCAGAAAATACAGGTTTTTTTGTTTGTTTGTTTTTGTTTCTTTCCCAGAGGTGTGCAGTCCCTCTGGAGAAAGCATGTGTGCTGCAGGGAAAACCATGCACGGTGGACAGCATGGCCTTCCACCTGCATCACAGTCACATTCTGATTCCAGGCAGCTGTTTCACAATTCTGTAACCAACGGTAGGAAAAATAGGCTTACCCTCTACCTGCCACTCATTTCAACATTCCTTCACACCACATGACTCCACATGAATTTGTGCTTCTTGACTCCTCTCTGTTTGTTTTTTGTTTTTGTTTTTTGAGACACGGTCTCACTCTCTCACTCAAGCTGGAGTGCAGTGGTGTGATCTTGCTCACTGCAACCGCCATCTCCTGGGCTCAGGTGATTCTCATGCCTTAGCCTCTGAGTAGCTGAGACCACAGGTGCAGGCCACCATGCCTGGCTTTTTTTTTTTTTTTTTTTTTTTTGTATTTTTTGGTCAAGACAGGGTTTCGCCAAATTTCCCAGGCTGGTCTTGAACTCCGGAGCTCAAGCAATCCACCCATCTCAGCTTCCCAAAGGGCTAGGATTATAGGTGTGAGCCACTATGCCCAGCCTTGACTCCTCTTTTGAAATGGTTATATCATCTGCCTAGTTTCCACATGAATTAAATAAAACCTTTAACAGTGTTCATTTTTAACCTGAAGAAGAGTCATGGTTTTACTTTTTTCCCTGAAATTTGTCTTTCAATGCTTCTGTGCCATGGACAACAGATAGCAACTGCGCATCCAGGCATCGTGCTTGTGGTTCAGACCAGAGGAAGCGGGGAGGGCAAAGAATGGAAACCACTTGCCCACCAAGTCTGCCCATTTTTGTCAGGCAAATAGTAGTAGCTCGTCCAGAATCCCCATCCCTTAGACTCCCTCACACCTGACTGCCTAGAAAAATGCCACATAGACACTCCTAATTGCAAGGGATCTTGGGAAATCATTGCCTACCCACTACAGGAAAAAAAAGAAAAAGGTAATCTGTGAGCAAGGAAGAAGAGAATGGGCGCTCAGTAGGCAACCAGGCTGCATCAACAAGGACCCACTCCAGACAAAGCTTTAGACAGAGCTTCAGATGACCTCGCTCTTGTGTGCACATTCCCCCATCCTCCCATCCGACCTCCTTACCCCCACCCGTGCGCTCATCTTGAAGCCACTAATGACCACGCTGCTGCAGCGTCTAAGTGATTTATCCTCATGTAGCCGATTTTTAGTGGGGTACCCCCAAAGGAGTAGTACAGAGGAGTCCGTGTTAGGGACAGAATTGCTGTCATCAGGACGGCTTGTAAGGGAGCTTTGGTGGGAGCTGGGAAAGAGGGGCGTCTTTCCTTCCTTCCCCACTCCACTGGCCGATGCCTGGATTACCAGCAGATCCCTATACCACCTGGATGCAAGGCTGGCCCAAGAGAAGATTTGCTGAATATCTTGAGAATGCTATTTGATACATTTTTCTTACTTTTTCATTATTAAAATTGTTTTCAAATAATAAAATAAAATGAGAGAAGAAAATGAGAAAATTATATTTTAAGTAATTTTCCTTACCTAAAATAGAACCATTATAACATGTTAAAGTTTTCCAGAGTTTTCTCTCTAATAAGAGCTTTTCTTACAGTCATCATCCCAGGTGTGCAAATTTTTAACCTATTTTTTTAATTAATGTATCCTAAGCATATTTTATTTTATTTTATTTTATTTTATTTTATTTTATTTTATTTTATTTTATTTTATTTTATTTTATTTTATTTTATTTTATTTTATTTTATTTTATTTTATTTTATTTTATTTTATTTTATTTTATTTTATTTTATTTTATTTTATTTTATTTTGAGACGGAGTCTCACTCTGTTGCCCAGGCTGGAGTGCGGTGGCAAATCTCGGCTCACTGCATGCTCCGCCTCCCGGGTTCAAGCTATTCTCCTGACTCAGCCTCCGAGTAGCTGGGATTACAGGCGCCCGCCACCACACCCAGCTAATTTTTTGTATTTTTAGTAGAGACGGGGTTTCACCATGTTGGCCAGGCTGGTCTCAAACTCCTGACCTCAAGTGATCCGCCCACTTTGGTCTCCCAAAGTGCTGGAATTACAAGGCATGAGCCACTGTGTCCGGCCTTAAGCATCTTTTATGTTATTTCATACCTTCATTAATATAACTTCAGTAGCTACTTCATATCTCCCCACGTGGACATAACCATAGATTAGTCAATCGTACCCTATTACTGGTCATTTAAGTTTGTATTAGCTAGAAGACAGACTTACCTGTAATCCCAGCTACTTGGGAAGCCGAGGCACAGAATCACTTGAACCCAGGAGGAAGAGGCTGCAATGAGTTGAGATTGCACCACTGCACTCCAGCCTGGACGACAAACTGGAGTGAAATTAGCAAAAGTGCAGGAAGCATTGATTTTTTTTTCTTTGAGACTCTGTCTCAGAAAAAAAAAGTCTCACCATCAACATCTATAATAATAAAGAAAACGAAGAACTAGAATCGATGTTTATAATGCGTCTTACTCTAGCACAGAGATACGTAAGCTAGGAAATAAAAACAACTTCATTCACCTCATTGAGAGATGCATTTCCAATAAAAACGTACTTTTTATGTTTAACAATTGTTAATTAGTTTGTCACATATTTATTCTGTTTTAATCAAATATCCATAATGGTGATGATAACTGTAAGCAGAAGGTAACGTTTCCATAATTACAGACCTGATCACAAAGGTACCGCTTCCTTCAATTTCAATGTATAAACATATTTTCATTGCTGAGAAGTATGAGAGGTATAAGCCATATGACTTTCACACATAACATATATTAGGATAAAAGTTTATGAGGGAGGTGGATGGAAAGAATGGTTAAAGAACTCATTTACGTATGTTTAAATGGTGGGTGCCAGAGTGATACGATGCCTGCATATCACTGAACACACAGCCAAGAGTCACATGTTTTATTTTCAAAATATTAATATTTTTAATAAGCTGGAAGTTGCATGCTTTTCAGCCATTAAACCTGGAGGAAAATTTTTAGGTGCAAAATGGAAAACTCTGAGGACACAGCTGTTAAAAATTGAGCAGTACCCCACCCGCCTCGGGATCTTCCTGAGTCTAGGGCTCCCTCTGGTGGTGAGACTCAGAATTTGTGTTAGATCACAGCCCCGGAGACCTGCCTAGCAAGAATTAAAAGCACCACGTTCTGCAAGCCAACCCCTTCCTTCTTGGTGTGTTTCCTGGAATCGTCACTGTAATTTTTTTTTTTTTTTTGGTTTTTGAAACGGAGTTTCTCTCTGCCCCCAAGCTGGAGCGCAGTGGCGCGATCTCGGCTCATTGCAACCTCTGCCTCCAGGGTTCAAGCGATTCTCCTGCGTCAGCCTCCCAGGTAGCTGGGACTACATGCATGCGCCACTAATTCTTGTATTTTTAGTAGAGACGGGTTTTCACCATGTTGGCCAGGCTGGTCTCGAACTCCTGACCTCAAATGATCAGCCCGCCTCGGCCTCCCAAAGTTCTGGGATTACAGGCGTGGGCCACCATGCCCGGCCTGTCACTATAAAATTTGACCATATTGGCCCTCTAAGCCCAGAACCTTGAGAGAATAGTACACTGCACCCCTCATCAAGCCAGATCCTCCATGGTCATTCATTAACTTGACGGACGTCTACTGAGCACCCACTATGGGCCAGGCACCCATTTCTAAAAGCCCTCTGTATCTCTCTCTAAGAAGTGTGAAGAAGTTCCTAAACAAAAGAGGAACCCAACACGAATTAACGACCACAGAAATTCACCAAAAAATTAAAGTGACCCACAAACGTTTACAAAGAGGTTTATCCCCTCCAGTAATTAAAGAAACACAATGAACCACAAGAAATCATTTGCCTGCTCCTAAGCTGGGATAGGTTTAAATATCTGATAATATCCAAGGCTGCCATGGGTGGAGGAACCGGGAAATACATGTCTTCATACCTTGCTGGTGAGGATATAAACTGGTACAATTTAACGGACTACGAAGAATATTAACATTTTTTCAGTTCATGCTTTTGACCCATGAATTATTTTAAGGCTTTCGTCGGGACCCTGGCCCAGCCTGCTGCTGAGACCGTCAGGACCTTGGTAAGATGCGCTGGGGTTAGAGTATCTGAGAGCCCCTCTCCTAACTGCTGAAAAGGAGCGAGTTCTCCAGCCTTTGGTTACATGTCCCCAACCAATGCCATTTTCTAAGAACAGCCTCTGTGGCTCTGCTCCCAGCACAAGCTTTCCTGTGCCAAGAACTGGGAGGCGGCCGGGGCAGTGGGGACTGGCGCCTGACTCAGCCTCCTGGGTCAACGGGTGGGGAGCGTCCCGGGGCTCAGGCTGCCTCATCTCTCTCCACCCCTGCCCCCCTTTCCATCTCACACCCACACTCACACTTACAAACACACACACTCATACCCACAGTCACGCACACACCCACACTCACGCACATGAACTCATACACAACCAAACACACTCATACACATGCAGTCATACACTACTCCCCCTACACCACACACACACTCACAAATACACATTCACTCACACACACCAAACACCCATACACATACACATACACCACTCCCCCACACTCACACACACTCTCACACACACACCCCACACACACACGAACTCACACACACTCATACACAACCACACACCCATACACATGCACTCACACACCACTCCCCCACATCACACACATAAATACACTCACTCATACACACCCACCAAACACCCATACACATGCACACACACTACTCCCCCACACAACTCCCCCACACTCACACTCTCACACCCTCCCCACACATCCCAAACTCACTCCCACACACACGAACTCACACATGCTCATACACAACCACACACACCCATACACATGCACTCAAACACCACTCCTACACCACACACACTCACAAATACACATTCACTCATACACACCCACACATACCCATACACGTGCTCACACACCACTTCCCCTACATCACTCACACCCACCCTCACACACACGCATTCACTCATACACACCCACACACACCCATACACATTCACTCACACCTCTCCCACCCACTCACACACAAACTCAGTAACACATACCTTCACACACTCATATACACCCACATACATGCACTGACATACCACTCCACACTCCTCTACACTCACACACACACATCCCCACAACCCACACTCACACATATCCACACCCACACTCACAAATACGTTCATTTATACACACCCACACACCCATATACATGCAGTCACACTACTCCCCCACACTCACAGCCACACACACCTTCACACACTCATACATTCACACACCCACACACATGCACTGACACTCCACTCCCTCACACTCTCACACACACCCCCAGACATCCACACTCACACATTCACACACACGCACACACACCACTCCCTCACACTCACACCCCACACACATCCACACTCACACAAACACACACATTCACACATATATACACACGCACTCACATCACTCCTCACACTCGCACACACACACCACCCCCACACATTCATACACACAGAGACACACTCACCCACACACATTCACAAACTCTCACACACATTCACACACTCATATCCACACACACCCATACTCACACATGCACTCACACACCACTCCCCAACAGTCAGACACTCACAAACACACATAGCCCCCACACACTGACACACTCACTCACACTCTCACACTCACACACACCCTGTGGAAGACTAGAAAGAGCCCTGGACTCTAACGTGACACCAACATGGTCTTGCCTCTCAGGGTCTCAGGGGTCTGCCTCGCTATGGGCCTCAGTTTCCCCACCTACACAAGGGGATTGGACTAGATGATGCCTCTGAGCCCCCCCGCCCCAGCGTTAATTCTAGCTCTGCCCTTCAAGGAGGTTATCATCTAATAGAGGAAGCAGGAGATGCCCTCCAAGTCATGCCACAACGAACGTCTTGAACCCCCCTAAATGGAATGCTGGCATATTCCACTCCCAAATACACAGTCATGTGCTGCATAATGATACTGGCCAATGACAGACGGCATACATGACGGTGGTCCCATAAGATGATGGGACCCATACGATTATACCGTACATTTACTGTACCTTTTCCATGTTTCATTATGTTTAAATACACAATACTGGCCGGGTGCAGTGGCTCACACCTGTAATCCCAGCACTTTGGGAGGCCGAGGCAGGAGAATCACTTGAACCCAGGAAGCGGAGGTTGCAGTGAGCCAAGACTGGGCCACAAATACAATATTAGGAATGAAAATAAATATTACTAAGAATGAGAAAAAAGTTATAAATTTTAAAAAGTAAAAAATACCACAAACATTACAAAATCCAGAAAAATAAAATATTTTTATTAATTAACTGTCTGACACATATCTATAATTTTTTTTCATTTTTTGGCTATAGGCTCTTTAATTGACTCTTTAAATGACAACAATCTTATCAGAGAAATTAGAAAGACGATCTTTGCTCTAGCATGGTGGGTTAAAATTTAGCGATTTATTAATTTAGAAAAGTTTCTTTTAGCTTCTGTGCCAGTTGTCAACTTATTGTATCTCAGCTCCTAATACGTCCCTCATTGCCTGACCTCCTAGAATTGAGCTGAGCCTTGTAATTAGTTGCCCTTTGCCTGCAGCTGCATGTCAAGCTTTGTCAGTAGAGGGCGCTGAAGAGACACGGGAGGAGAAAGGGGTTTCTCTTCACTGTCTGGTGCACTCCTCTTGGGAGGCTCCTGCTGCCCATGAGGTTTCTCTACACCTGCTCCTGCAAGGCACCCGGCTTCTGCAGTGTCTGGCAGCTCCAGCAGCATGTGTGGCTTCTGCAGCACCAACTCCAATTCCCAGGCACCAGTAGCTTTCTCTGGAAGCCCCCTGGGCAGCTTTGCAGGAGTTTGTGGCCACTAGGGCACTGTCCTGGGAATTGCTTCCCCCTGCATTTTCTCCTGTGGCTTTGCAGACTGTTCTGAGACATGACGTGTCACTGTGGGTGATTCCTCTGATACCCCAGAGAGCAGATTTCCAGCTGCTTCTGCCAACCTGGCACCTCAGTGACTTCTCTGCCACGATCTCTCCCATCAGGTCTGGATCTCAGCCGTGGCAGGGACCTTCTTCTGGGGTGCTTTATCTCAGCCCTAAGAGTGATGGTTGTGCCTCTATCTGCCATTCCTGCATTTTTCAAGAGTTCTCTTAACTTCTTTCTAGCCAGGCCTTATTACTCCAATCCCCTGTTAAAGTCAATTCTTTTTTCTTTTTTCTTTTTTTTTTTTTTTGACTGAATTTCATTCTGTTGCCCAGGCTGAAATGCAGTGGCACGATCTCGGCTCACTGCAACCTCCGCCTCCCGGGTTCAAGCGATTACCATGTCCCAGCCTCCCAGGTAGCTGGGACTACAGGCATGCACCACCATGCCTGGCTACTTTTTGTATTTTTAGTAGAGATGGGTTAGCCAGGCTGGTCTCGAACTCCTGACCTCAAGTGATCCACCAGGCTCGGCTGGGTGGAGTGCTGGGATTACAAGCGTGAGCCACTGTGCCTGGCCTAAAGTTAATTATCTATGGGAAACATTCCTTGTACAAATTATCGTGTGGTTTCTGTCTCCTGATTGGAACCTGGCTAGTACAGCTTTACTGCCCTCTGTTGGTCATAATGATTGTATATCTGAAATATTATTTTCAAATCTGGGAAAATACCTGTCAAGTTTCATATATGAGTTTTAAGATTCCAGGGCATTTCATGGGTTTTGTGCTTAGTGGCTACTCTTAAAAACCCTTTGAATGCATGGCAGGGTGTCCTCTGTGACATGGTGCTCTACAAACACTGTTGCCTCAATGTCAGCATTTCATGTCAAATTGTAAAGAAGTTCCATCCTTTTCCTGTATGTTCTTAGGATTCACTCATTGGTTTATCAAAGAACCCAAAAGCTTATTCATTGTTTCTATTCAAAATGTATCATTTCTCCTGAATCAATTGCTGCTTTTTATGTGATTGGAAAGGGTTTTGTTACAATTTGCTTCTCAATGTCCAAATAACCTCTATCAATTTTATCTGTCATCTTTATTACTTTTGTTCCAGATTTCATTAATTTCAAATTGATGACAAAAGAAGGTATCTTGTACAACCAAATCTAGAGTCTACAGTTTCTCACTGGTTTTATTACAATGTTGCAAAACAATTTTTTAACATTGTAGCTAAAAGGTGGTATTCAAGTTTTATCAAATATACCATTCCCATCAAAAAAGAAGCCTGGGCAATATAGTGAGACTCTGTCTCTACAAAATAAATAAATAAATAAATAAATAAATAAATAAATAAATAAATAAATTAAATTAGCCAGACATGGTGGTGCATGCCTGTAGTCCCAGCTACTAGGGAGGCTGAGGTGGGAGGATCACTTGAGTCCGGGAAGTCGAGGTTGCAGTGAGATATGATCATGCCACTGCACTCCAGCCTGGGTGACAGAGTGAGACCCTGCCTCAAAATAATAAAAAAAGAAAAGATGTGCCCTGTCTACTCTGCTGAAGGGATATGCAGTTGGCACTTCCAACACGGTCTGCTACAGACAAGTCAGAACTTATGATGGTTTTTCAGTTTTTCTGGGCTACACGGAACTTCCTTGGCACTCACTAAGGCTTCCAACACCGGAAGTTCTTCATCTATCATCACATATCTTCAGTCTTCATGGATCTAGGGAAACCCTCTTACCAGGCATAAATCACCTCCCACTGTACAAGCAGGAAATGCCAGACACTCACTCTTTTAGCCTCCCTGGCTGTGGCAGGACCCACACATGTCAAAGCTCCATCTGTGAGTTGCACCCTCCCAGACCACAGGCCAGATGCTAGTGGCCAAAGGAGGTGGGGACTCCACAGACTTGCTTGGTTATGATGTAGCTTTGAGGTTTCCAGAGGCTGCTGCAGGGCCAGTTCCAGCCCCCTCGAACAATAAAGGAGGTGGCTGCTGAGGCTAGATCACAAAACAGGGACAGTGGCCTGAGGAACGTGGCTGCTGCCCACGATTGGCAAGGAGGTGGGAGGGAGCTTCGGAGACACGGCCCCTCTCCTTTCACCCTGAGCACCCGCTGGGCCAGCCCTGAGACACAGAGCAGACCAGAGCGCTGGGAATGAACCTGGGGTAGGGTGGGGTGGGGAGAAAGGAGAATAACCAGCCCCTCAGGGCTTGGAATTGAGAAGTGTGAAACCACGTGCAAAAGCTTCCCTGGATGACCCAGATGAGGGATATTGATCCAGGAAGGTCTTAGCAGCAGATGGGGAATTGCACGCTGGCGGGCAGTCCTGGAAGCGGGTGCAGAGGGACCCATTCCTGCAGGTCATTCCTCTCAGCACATGGACACGGGCAGTTCCCACAGATGCCAGCAAGCCACCGCCTGCAGGCAGGATGGGAGGGCGCCCACCCTTGGGGTGCTTTCTGGCTGTACCCTGATGATGGCTGCAGCCACACATCTCAGAGTGCGGTTCATGGAATACTAAAAAATGTAAATGCTGCAATCAGGGCTCTGAAAATAATGTTGCTGGAATTATTGAGGGAAATTTACAAATTAAATAGCCTAAAAGGCTGCAAATGAAAATGACATTAAATTGGCAAGGACTTGTGGAGCACAAGAATTATTTGTCTTTCCTTAAATAAGAAAGTGGTCAGAGACTGGGTCACAGAGCCAAAGCAGGATGGAGGGACCCCTGCCTCATAATGGAACTAGATAGAGGCCCAGTCCTCCGCGACCCTGGCCAGGGCGCTCTCTTCCACCAGCTGTTCCCCTTGCTGAGGCACATGGGTTGGGGAGGCTGCTGAGTGCTTGGGTCCCACATGCAGTCCATGGGGCACAGGACCCATGACCCCAGTCTCACTGATGTTGCTCCCTGGCAGCTGGGCTGCAAACATCCACAGCAGGCCGGGAGACAGACAGACCAGCCTGGCAAGCAGGAGGCGGAAACCAGGCAGTGTTTTGGGCCATACATTGGTTTCCTGGGGCTTCCTACTGGCTTGAACAAAAGAGATGTATGGTCTCCTGGTTCTGGAGGCCAGAAGTTGGAGACCATAGTGTCGGCAGGGCTAGTCCCCCTCTGAGGGCACTAGGGAAGGCTCGGTCCCAGGCCTCCCTCCCAGCTTCCAGAGGCTTCACTCACTCAATCTGCACATGGCATGGCGTTCTCCCTGTGTGCCTGTCTGTCTCTGTGTCCAAATTTCCCTTCTTTAAAAGGGCACAGCCATATTGGATTAGCACAACTTATCTTAATCATCTACACAGATCCTGTTTCCAAATAAGGTCACACTCACAGATATGGGGGGTTAAGACTTTGGCATCTTTTGGGGGACACAACTTAACCCATAAGAGCCGGCTACTCTCCACAAGGGTATTTGGCCCATTCTGTGTATTAAGCACTGTGCCAGCCTCTGAGGGGAGGTGGGATGAATAAGATGAGGGCCCTGCCTCCACGGAGCTGACTCCAGCCTCAGAAGTGCTGCCAGCCTCACTTACCAGCAAACTTTATGCAAAACTGGAAGCCCAAGGCGTTTCTGAACAGAACCTGGCTCTGTGTCTCTCTGGGAGGCGTCTGCCCCCAGGGCTGCTCAGGGCCCTCAGGCAGGGGACAGTCCTGAGGACCCTGACCCAGAAAATACAGAACAGGGAGATGTGAACATTTGGAGAGCATGCGTAATGACCCTGAGCAATTCCATCTTCAACAGGAGCTCAAAATGCAGATCCTGAGTCAAACTGCAAATGGCAACCCCTCCCCTCTGGCCCACTGTCCCCTTTCCCACAACCGGACGCCCTGCGATGCCCCCGAGCTGAGTGCAGATGACCTGCAGATGAATGTCTTTGAGTGTTTATTCCTGAAAGGCTGCCCCTCCCCATGAGGACAAAGGGAGTGAGGGTCTAGAAACATGGGTTCTAAACCCAGCCCTGTCACCAATGAGCAGCGGGACCTTGGGCCAATCCCACCTCCCTCTGGCCTTTGCTCAGAAGTTGGGTGGCTCTAAGGTCCCTTCTGGTGCCATGATTCCGACTCTATGGGGAACACAGGGAGGGCTTGGTGAATCCCCACAAGGGGACCTATACAGCAGGACCCTCCACCCTTCAGTTCCCTGGAGGAAGCAGGATGTGTCCCTACCTTTACCTGCTTATTGGTCTTTCGATCTTTACCTGGTGGGCCTCAGCTGCTCAAGCCTCTTGGCTGTGATTGGGCTTAGGTGAATACAGTGAGGCCATTGTTTTCTCCATGGGATGTCTCAGATTAGGAGCAGAGGGTGGCTCAACCAGCCTTCACAATAGGGATACCTTCTGTACGTCAGCCCTTATCTTGAGTATTGGGCCAGCCCCATCACCTGACCCAGGGCACAGTCACCCACACACCTCGGGGGTCATTACAAGCTCAGTGTTTCCTGCCCCTGAGAGATTCCAGCCCTGCTGTCTGTCCATCTTTTACAAACCAGATGAAGTTTCATCTCCATGAAGCCTTCCTGGATACATTTTTTATATTTTTTTGGCAGGGTCTTGTTCTATCACCCGGGCTGCTGTAGTGCAGTGGTGTGATCTCAGCTCACTGCAACCTCCACCTCCCGGGCTCAAGTGATCTTCCCACCTCAGCCTCCCGAGTAGCTGGAATGGCAGATGCACACTAATTTTTTTTTTTTTTTTGTAGAGACAAGATTTCACCATGATGCCCAGGCTTGTCTCGAACTCCTGGGCTCAAGGGATCCGCCTGCCTTGACCTCCTCAAGTGTCGGGATTATAGGTGTGAGCCACTGCGCCCAGCACTCCTGAATGTATCTTGATGCAGCCAAACAGTATCAACTTCTCCTCCATCTCAGCCACAATACTTATTGCCTGGACTGTATATTGAAGTTCAAATCATATTCTATGTGATATTTAAACACAGCTTCAAACATACAAACCACAAAATGCCACCACCACGTGCCTTGCTGTGGGTGTCATTTCACTCACCGTGTTAAATGCTACCAGAGTTTTCAATCTGCAGACAGGATATTCAGTTCTGGGAAATTTTCATGTATGTTTACAAATAACTTCCTTCCTATTATATACTCGTTTTCCCAAAACTCCAACTTGGACATCCTGGATTTATCTTCTACTTCTAATTTCTCTCCTGAATTCTCAGAGTTGAAAGTTATGAAATACATATTGAAAGAATGCCCCAAATACTCTGTACAATGTAAAATTAGGCCCATTCAAAGCACACTGTCATGAACTCTGGGGATATTGAGGGCACAGAGAAGACTCTACAAGCTTCCAATCCTACATATAGATAGATGTAATAGGAAGGCTGAAGGATAAGAGTGGCCTCAGACTTCTCATCTACAACACTAGAAGGTAGCCATGCCTTCAACACTCTGAGGGGGCTGGGTGAAGTGGCTCATGCCTGTAATCCCAACACTTTGGGAGGCCAAGGTGGGAGGATCACTTGAAGCCAGGAGTTCAAGACTGGCTTGGGAAGCAAAGTAAGGCACCCAATCTCAAAAAAAAAAAAAAAAAAAAAAAAAGTTTAGAAAATTAGCCAGGTGTGCTGGTGCACACCTGTGGTCCCAGCTTCTTGGGAGGCTGAGGTGGGAGGACTGCTTGAGCCCAGGAGTTCAAGATTGCAAAGCTGTGAGCAACACTGCACTCCATCCTGGGCAACAGAGTGAGATCTTGTCTCTAAAATCAAAAACCAAAACTGAGGGAAACTGATACCCGGATAACAATTACATACCCAGCTAAGCTACCAAGCAAGTGTTACGGTAAAATAAAAACAGGGTCAGATATACAAGCTCTCAAAACTTTACCTCTCAAGCATCTTTTTTCAGGAAGCTATGGAAGGACGTACTCAATTAAAATGGGAGAATAAAGGAAGAAACAAGAAAAACGATCCAGGAACCAGGGTCGGCCAACCAAGAGGGAGGCAAGGGCCTCTCTGGGCTGCAGGGCAGAAGCCCCGGGAAAGAGTTCTTCAAAACACTGAAATGAACAGACTATCGGACAGGAATTTATCAAAAGGAGAGTTACACAGCTGGGGAAGAATTTGGTGATAAAATAGCCATAAACATCTGGAGAACTAAGTGAAAGGAAGTTCAAGACAATCAGTAAATCCAGAGAAAAGAAAAAGGTGGCAGAAAGGAAAAATAGTCCTAATATATAGTCCACCGCTCATTTGTGAACAGTAGTTACCTAACCCATCAACATCCATCTGACCCAAGGTAAGAATTCAGTGGCGGATGAGGAGGTAGGAGGGGTGGGGTGGGTGTGAGGAGGAGTTAAGTCCTCCTCTTCCGTAGCCAGTAGGAAACGCTAACGATGGAAATCTGTTGTTTAGAGACATGGAGGCAAAACAGAAGAGAATCAGCTGGAAGAGCTAAGAGCCCCGCTGTGGAGGACAGGAAGTGGGAGGTGGGAACTGCTTTTTTTCAGACATCTCCTGTAACAGCGTGATTCTAAACTGTGTAACTTTTTGTTTGTTTGTTTGTTTGTTTTACAGGAACACGGATTTGATTTTTTTTTTTTTTTTTTTTTGAGACGGAGTCTCGCTCTGTCTGTCGCCCGGGCTGGAGTGCAGTGGCGCGATCTCAGCTCACTGCAAGCTCCGCCTCCTGGGTTCACGCCATTCTCCTGCTTCAGCCTCCCGAGTAGCTGGAACTACAGGCACTTGCCACCAAGCCGGGCTAATTTTTCGTATTTTTAGTAGAGACGGGTTTTACCGTGTTAGCCAGGATAGTCTCGATCTCCTAACCTCGTGATCCGCCCGCCTTGGCCTCCCAAAGTGGTGAGATTACAGGCATGAGCCACTGCGCCCGGCCTTGATGTTTTAATAAAAATACAGTTCTACAAAAGGTGCTTAACACAGCCCCGGACGGGGTTCTCAGGTGGAGTCAGCCCTAGGACCCCTAAAAGACGCACGCAGACAGAGCCTGCTCCCCCCACGCTCCCGCCAGCACCGGGACCCACTGAGAGCCACTGCCGGGTGTCCTTCATATAAAAAAAAAAAAAAAAGGCGGGTGCAGTGGCTCACGCCTGTAATCCCAGCACTTTGGGAAGCTGAGGCGGGCAGATCACCTGAGGTCAGGAGTTTGAGGCCAGCCTGGCCAATATGGCGAAACCCCGTCTCTACTAAAAATACAAAAATTAGTTGGGCGTGGTGGTGCGCGCCTGTAATCCCAGCTACTCGGGAGGCTGAGGCAGGAGAATCATTTGAACCCAGGAGCTGGAGGTTGCAGTGAGCCGAGATCGCGCCACTGCACTCCAGCCTGGGCGACAGAGCGAGACTCTGCCTCAAAAAAAAAAAGATAGAAAGAAAGAAAGAAAGAAACTTACTACACAAAGCTCTTGTTGAAACGGTGTAACTTGGTTGAAATTACAAAAAGCAGGGCCCTAGCGAGTTGCTTGGCCGTGCCGTACGCGCAGGCGCGCCCACTCCCACCCAGCAGGAGGACCCCGCCATCGTCAAGTCGTGACCTGTCATCCACACAGAGGACTGTCGGGGCCAAGTGGCCTCTGACGGGAGTAGGGGGTGAGAATCCGAGGTGGACCCTGGGAGAGCGCAGTTGGCTGGGGTGCTGCGCTGAAGGGGCCTCCAGGGTCAGGGCAGCAGGCGTGAGCCAGTGCCTGGCATGGAGTGGGGCTCCCTCGCCCCTTCCCGGCTGCTGCTCAGCGGCTGATTCCGCGGGCCCGGGGGCGCTCCAAGGGGCGTCGGTCCCGCGACGGCCGCCAGGTGGCGCCAGAGCCCGCCCAGCCGCAGCCCCTGCGCCTGCCAGCCCCGGTGCCCGCCAGCCAACGCCAAACCCAACCCGGCCAGGGTCCTGGGTCTCCCGCCCCTCCCTCAGAGTCTCCGAGGGGCGGGAAATGGTTTCCAAAAGAATTCAAATACATTCAAAAGCAGACCGGATGTAACGAAGAAGCCAGTCCAGGTTCTCTTACACCTCCAGCGGAGCCCCGCCGCCTGTTTCTCTCTAAAAGCAAATCCCAGACGATCCATCATTGCATCTGAAAATATCTCAGTTCCGAACTCTATAAAATAAGGACTCTAAAAAAAGTATAGTCCCGGCCGGGCGCAGCGGCTCACGCCTGTAATCCCAGCACTTTGAGGGGCCGAGCCGTGTGGATCACCTGAGGTCAGGAGTTCGAGACAAGCCTGGCCAATATGAATAAACCGTGTCTCTACCAAAAACACAAAAATTAGCCGGGCGTGGTGGCGGGAGCCTGTAATCCCAGCTACTCGGGAGGCTGAGGCAGGAGAATCACCTGAGCCCCGGAGGCGGAGGTTGTTCTGAGCGGAGATCACATCATTGCACTCCAGGCTGGGCGACAGAGGGAGACCCCGTCTCAAAAAAAAAAAAAAAAAAAAGAAAGAAAGAAAAAAGAAAAAAAATTATAGTCCCTATGTCGTGACCACACACGTTTAACAAATGCGGGTTCCTGGATCAGGAATCTGAGCCCGAGAGGGGACGGGAATCTGAGCCTTGTGACAAGTTTTCCCTGCAAAGTCTTGGGGTGCTGTGTGCAGAGGAACAGGACAGACTCCCCCTGAGCTCTGCTCCAGTACTGCTCCAGAGGCAGATGGAGAGCCGGCGTATCACATGCGGGCATCAGGATGGCATATTTGGGGGAACAGGGGTTTGGGAAGAGCCAGGTCGGATGGAGAGGGCAGGGACAGGCTGGGGAGCCCTGGTCCCACCCACACCCTCCCCACTTGGGGACCTCTCTTGTCTCCAAACATTACTCGGTCAGCCGGACGGTGAGTGGTGCCGTGGATAACAGGTCCCTTCTTGGGCTGCTGTGTCTAGTCCCTTAACTTCAATGCCCTTTTTAAGGCTTAAACCTTAGGTCGTTGCTCTGTTCCAATAGTCACACGTGCTCGAAGAACTGACCTGCTCATTTGGCCCTCAGCTGCCACCACGAGGCTCCCTCCTGGAGCTATTCCTCCCTGGACCGGCCACAGGGGAGGGCCCCAGGCAGCGTGGCTCCTCCAGTCCTGCCGCCTCTCTCATGCCACCTGTGTTTCCGAGCCAGTCCATCCAAGGAAACAGACAAGGTAGCCATGAGCATGAGTAGAGAGGTGCCCACGTTCCGGACCACTCTCGCTGTATTTGTCTCCCATCTCCATCAGAAGACTCCGCTGAGCTCCAAGGCAGGTGGGGTCACAGGCTGAGGCTGAGGACCAGCTGTGTGTTAAAAGCCAGCCAGTCTTGGGCAGAGGACCTCACCTTTCTTGGACGCAGATCTTGGAACCAGTACAGTGGCACCAAGGGCAGGTCTGAGGATTCAAGGTGACATGACAATCTTGAACGCTGAACCCAATGCCTCCCTAAGTGATGTTCTTGTCAAACAAGCTTCTGCCAGACGCTCTCCTCAGACTGTCCATTTTCACTCCAGATCTTTCTGTTCACTCATTTATCCTCTTGGCAAATACGTATTGTGCACCTACTGTGTGCGAGGTGCTAGGGATGCTGCAGCAATCCAACGGGCACCAATCTCCCCTCACAGAGAAGACATACTCCAAAGAGGAAAGGGGCCTCGCTGTGATGACAGGCAGTGCAGGTGTAGACCATGGCCTTGGACAGGGGTTCCAAGTGAGACGTGTTGCAGGGCCTGAGGCAGGCTCACCTAACTCGCCCAGCACCTGCCTGGGGAACCATGGGACCTCTCCCAGCACCCCCAGGCCACATCTCAGGGGAAGGGCACACTGCCTGTTCCCTGGCCCTTCTTTCAGTGTCCTCTCCCCCTCTCTCCCTTTGCTGGTTTCTCCACGCCTCTGGCCCACATGGCATAAAACAGGGTGTCTTTGGAAGGCTGAGGAGGCTTGCTGCAGGCCTGGCCACTTGGGGAGACACCGAGTCAATCAGATGAACTCTGGCTTACCTCCTCGGACCATCAACCATGGCCAGGAAGGTGGGTCACATTGTACCAAAGGCCACTGGGACAAACCTTGCAACTGTGAGGGTGAAGAGAGGAGGTGGGCAAGTTTGGAGGGCTGGGTTCCTGCTAGCTACCACCTCCTAGCCTCCCACTAGGTTTTCTCCCCCACCATAGGGGCCCACTGTACATTCTGCAGAGGAGGAAACTGAGGCATACAGCATGAGTTAGTTTCCCGTGGCTGTTGTAACACATTACCACAAGCTTGGTGGCTTAGAACAGCAGAAATGTATTCTCTCCCAGTTCTGGAGAACTCTGAAATCAGGGATCCAGGGGCTCTAGAGTGGAGTCTTGCTTCTTCCAGCTCCTGTGGCTGCCAGCTTACCTTGGCTTGTTGCTGCATCACTCCAATCTGCATGGCCAGCGTCTTTCAATCTTCTTCCACTCCGTCTTCGCGTGGTCTTCTCCTTGTGTAAAATGTCCCTCTACCTTTCTTATGAGGACATTTCCCACCACATTTAGGGCCCACCTGGACCATCTGGGACAGTCCCCATGTCAAAAGCTTTAACTTAATCACATCTGCAAAGACCCTTTTCCAATAAGGTAAGGTTGACAGGTACCAGCAATGGGGACCTGGTGTCTCTGGGGGGCATTATCAGCCTATGACAGGGACAGGAGTAATGTCCTCAATGGCACACAGCCGATTAGGTGGTGCAGTTGGTGTCTGGACCCGGGTCTGCCTGAGGAACCATGCTGTCACTCAACACATCCTTGTTCCCTTGTGGCCCAGAAGTCTTTATTCAGGGGCCACCATCAGGATGGTTTGTTCCATCCTCAACTCCTGTCACCAAGCAGTCAGGCCACCTGAGTTGAGGATGCTGAGAAAGCTTCGCTGCCTTAAGGCATTTCCCCTCCTGGCCTGACCCAGCACCTGGGCTGTTACCTGGAAGGAGGACTGCAGAGATGGCAGCTGCTGTCTCATCAATTTCCTCATTCTTCATTCCGCAGGGATCTAGCCTCTACAGGGTGGGGCACCAGGACCCACCAAAAGCGGGGCCCTGAGGGCTGGGGCAGAAGAGAACCATTCTGATTGCACCCCTTGGGGCAGGTCTGGAGAAGCGGAGTTTTGGGAGAGAGAAGTAAGAGGACACAGGAGCCTGCCTTGTCCTTCTCCTGCATCTCCAAGAGGAAGCTTTTCAGGCCCACTAGTGTAGGACCAAATGCTGAATTAATGAATCTATTGTTGACCATCTGTTGCAGTTAATATCACAGGGAGAGACAACCCCACAGGGTGCCCCTCCTGGTGGAAAAGCACAGGAGCCCCCCACAGAGGTGCAGCCAGCGAGGTCCAGGCCATGGGAAACCCTGAAGGACAAATGGCCTGCTTCCTCACCCATGCACACACATTCACACATGCACATGCACACATGTGCACATACACTCACACATCCACACATGCATATGCACACATGCACACGCACATTCATGCATGCATATGCACACACACTCACACACGCACACACACACTCACATGCACACACACATTCATGCATGCATATGCAGACACACTCACACATTGACACATGCACATGCACCCACGAGCACACACATTCATACATGCACATGCACACACACATTCACATGCACATGCACACACAAGCACACATACATTCACACATGCACATGTGCACACACATTCAGCATGGACATGCACACATGCACACACACATTCTTGTGTGCATATGCACACACGCACACACATTCATGCATGCACACACATTCACACATGCACAGGCACACATGCACACACACATTCACACATGCACTTGCACACATGCACACGCACATTCATGCATGCATATGCACACACACATGCACACACGCACACACTCACATGCACACACATTCACGCATGCACACACACTCACATGCACACACATTCACGCATGCACATGACACACGCATTCATGCATGCACATACACATACTCATGCAAATGCTCATGTGCACACACACACACATACATGCACACCCACAAGCACACATGCATGCTCACACAGATGCAAGAAACAGGGTAAAAGGGGCTTAAAAGATGGATCAAATTATCTCAATGTGTAAATCTTATTTGAATCTTGATTCAAATAAGCAAGCTATAGTTTAAAAGATAGTTTAGAAGTTTAGAAGACAACTGGAAACTTAAACACTTCCTGGATATTTGATGAAATGAATAAGGTATTTTTAATTTTTTAGGTGCGATGATGGTTTTATGGTTATATATAGGTTACATATATTGATATTATGGTTGTATGTATAGAAAACCATAATGTATTAGCTATTAATATGATAATAATATCGAATATTGATATATTATGTATTATGGCTTTATATATATTTACATATATATAAAAAGAAGTCTTACTGTTTAGAGATGCACACTGACGTACTTACAAATGAAATAATATGACGTCTAGGAGTTTCTTTAAGGTAATACAAGAAGGGGGAAGTGGGTAGGAGCATAGATGAAACGAAACTGGCTGTATCTTGTTGAAGCTGGGTGATGGGTACATGGGGGCTCATTAGACTACCCAGTCAGCTTGTGTATTTATTTAATTTTTTCACAAGAAAAAGTTAAAAATATTAAACAACAAAAGACATAGGGGCTATTCCAGGGTTACTAACAACCCAAAGGAAATGCTCCCGTTCCTGTCTTTTCCTCAAGACTTCCTGCTCTGCCTGCTCCCCCAGGAGTGGAAGGTCACCTTCCCACAGGAGGTACTAGGGGCGAGTGACCCTGAGCAAGGCTCACTAAGGCAGCGCTGTAAGTGACACCAGAATCCTGAAGTTCCGCTCATCCTGCTTATGAAAGGATCATTCTAGACTGCAGGGGTAGGGGTGGGGGGTGATGTCCCTCAGTCACCATTCTTCCATCAGCATACCTCTTCCCCTTCCCTGCTGCTTTTGGTGCCTCCCCGGTTGGAGTCTTACTTTTGGAAGAACACGAAGATCCCAGATAGGAACAGGACTCACTTCACACCTCTCGCTACCTGCTTGGACTGGAAATCATCTGGCAGGATCCATCCCACCTCCACGGGTGCTTCTGAGGCTCCTGGGACCTTAGACCTGGAGGATTATACAGATTCACCAGGAGCCGCCATGAATCTCACTGGGTTGTGCTATCCTCAAGATCCTGGAGCTGAGAGGGCTCTGGCTGTGGCCACACCCATGATGGCTCTTCAGTCTCCTTGGCCTTCCAGAACAAGGGGCAAGAAATCAAACAGCAAGCATCTGGTTAGAGGCTGAAACACAGTCATTCAGTGGTATCAAGATAGAGAGGAGACAGAATATGGGGTTCAGTGTCTTCCAGAACAGAAAGAACATGAAATACAACCTTTCACCTAAAGATACTGAAGGGTTATGCTGTAGGCAAATAGAGAAGCCAGGAAGGCCAGCCTGAGCAAAGCCAGCAGCCCACCCTTAGCTGCACCAAAGTGATTTGCCCGTCTTCCATCTGCCTGCCAATATAAAGTAGGAATACATATCACCCAGAGCCTCTTTTTCACATGCAATGTCTCGAATTCAATCAAAATTACCATCGAGACACATCCTTGAAAAAAATTAGCAAAAGATCTGAACACTTCACCAAAGAAGATATATAGATGGCAAATAAACACATGAAAAGATGCTCAAAATCATTAGTCACTAAGAACAATAAAACTTATTTATTTACTTATTTAGTTTTGAGACAGAGTCTTGCTCTGCTCCCAAGGCTGGAGTGCAATGGCGCCCTCTCAGCTCACTGCAACCTCCACATCCCAGGCTCAAACGATCCTCCTGCCTCAGCCTCCCAAGTAGCTGGGACTACAGGCCTGTGCCACCATGCCTGGCTATTTTTTGTGTATTTTATAGAAATGGGGTTTCACCATGTTACCCAGGCTGTTCTCAAACTCCTGGACTCAGGCAATCCACCTGCCTTGGCCTCCCAAAGTGCTGGGATTACAGGTGTGAGCCACCATGCCTTGCCAAAAATGAAATTTAAATGAGATATCACTACACACCCACTGAAGTAGCTAATATTAAAAAGACTGACTGCAAATGTAGAGCAAATGGAACTCTCATACACTGGTGGTGGTATAATCACATTGCAAGACAGCTTAGCAGCTTGTTAAAAGATAAAACATACACCTACAATATGACCCAGTTATTCCTCATCTAGGTATTTATCCAAGAGGAATGAAAACATATGAAATGAAAACAGGCATGGTGGCTCATGCTTGTAATCCCAGCACTTTGGGAGGCTGAGGTGGGAGGGCTGTTTGAGGTCAGGAGTTCAAGACCAGCCTGGACAACACAAGACCCTGTCTCTACCCCCCAAAAAAAAAAATGTAAAAATTAGCCAGGCCTTTGTGTTGCACCTGTAGTCCTAGCTACTTGGGAGGCTGAGGCAGGAGGATTGCTTGAGCACAGGAGGTTGAGGCTGCAGTGAGCTATAATTAGGCCACTACACTCCAGCCTGAGTAACAAAACGAGACACTGTCTAAAACAACAACAACATAGTTTCACAAAAAGATTTGTACAAGAATGTTGCAGCATTTTGTTTTTTTAATAGCCCCAAAGTGGAAACAATCCACAAGTTCATCAGAAGGTAAATGAATAGACAAATTGTGGTATATCCACACAATGGAATACTATTCAGCAATAAAAAAGAATAAGCTATTGATATATACAATTACACAATAAGTCTCAAAATAATTATTCTGAGTGAAAGAAGCCATACCAAAAACACATACAGTGTGATTTGATTTATATAAAATTCTAGAAAATGCAAATGAGTCTATACTGATAGTTCAGTGGTTGCCTGGGGATGGTGGGGGAGGACATAGAAAGCAATGGATTACCAAGGGACACAAGGAAACTTCTGGGGGTAATGGATACATTCATTATCTTGATTGTGGTGATGGTTTCACAATAAATACGTATGCCAAAATTTATCAAATTGTATATTTTAAATGTGTGAAGTTTATTACATATCAATCATACCTCAGTAAAGCTGTAAAAAAATTACTAGGCATACCAAAAACAAGACCAAATGAGAGAGAACCAAGGGGAGAATAGAAAAGGGAAACAGGTTCACAGGTGATCTAGATATTGGAGTTATTAGATGTAGATTTTTAAATAAATATGTTGACATGGTTTGGATCTGTGTCCCCAGCCAAATCTTATGTCAAATTGTAATCCCCAAGGTTGGAGGTGGGACCTGGTGGGAGGTGATTGGATCGTGGGGATGGTTTCTTGTGGTTTAACACCATCCCCCTTGGTGTTGTCACAGTGAGAGTGAGTTATCTTGAGGTCTGGTTGTTTAAAAGTGTGTAGCACCTTCCCGCTCCCTCCCTTCCTCCTGCCCTGGCCTTGTGAAGACATGCCAGGTTCCCCTCACTTTCCACCATGATTGTGTTTCCTGAGGCCTCTCCAGCCATGCTTCCTGTACAGCCTGCAGAACCATGAGCCAATTAAGCCTCTTTTCTTTATAAGTTACCCAGTCTCAAGTTTTTTTGTTTTGTTTTGTTTTGTTTTGTTTTGTTTTGTTTTGTTTGAGACAGAGTCTCGCTCTGTCATCCAGCCTAGAGTCCAGTGGCACAATCTGGGCTCACTGCAACCTCCGTCTCCCAGGTTCAAGCGATTCTCTCACCTCAGCCTCCCAAGTAGCCGAGATTACAGGCATGTGCCACCACACCCGGCTAATTTTTGTATTTTTAGTAGAAATGGGGTTTCACCACATTGGCCAGGCTGGTCTCAAACTCCTGACCTCAGGTGATCCGCCTGCCTCAGCCTCCCAAAGTGCTAGGATTACAGACGTGAGCCATCATGCCTGGCCAAGTATTTCTTTGTAGCAATGTAAGAATGAACTAATGCATACGTTCGAGAAGATAAATAATTATTAAAGAATATTTAAAAATAATATTTTCAAGAAAATAGGAAGGAAAAGGTGGGGAGTATTGTTAGAAACCTCAAATCTAAAAAAAGAGAATAAAAAACATAAACTGAACAATAAAATAGCTAAATTCAAGACTCTAGTAGATGAATTCAACAGCAGACGAGAACTGCAGATAAGAGGCTTTGTTAACTAAAAGTTAGCTCAGTAGAAAATATTCATATTGAAGGACATAGGCAAGGGAGAAAAAAATAAGATATAGAAAATGGTATAACAGACACATGAGACCCAGTGAAACAGCCTAATATACATGATTCTGGTGCCCCAGAAAGACAGGAGAGACATTGAAGCAGAAATAACATAGGAGGGGATAGTGGTCAAGAGTGTTCAAAAAATGATGAAAGATTTCAGTCACAGATTTAAGAAGTTCCATATGACCTGTAAGCAGGATAAATACAAAGAAAACCATGCTTGGTTCCACTGTAGTAAAACTGCAAAAAGCCAGAGTCAAAGAGTAAATCTTAAAAAAACAGCCAAAGGAAAAAAGAAAAAGATATATTACCTTCAAAAATAAAGGCAAAATAAAGTTGTCTTTTTTTTAATAAGCACGCCAACAGAATTTTTGCCAGCAGACCTGCAGTAAAGCAAATAATAAAGCAATTTATTTGGGAAGAAGGAAAATGATACCAGATGGAAGCACAGTAATGCAATGAAGAATAATGATCCTGGGAAAGAATAAATAGGTGGGAAAATCTAAATCTAGATCCTGTAAGGACTAAATGCCTGTCCTTGGAGTACCAAGTAACGGTGCAGCATGCGCTGTTCATCATGAGCTGAGTTTACCTAATCCACCAAGTCATAAAGCTGAATGTGTGCAGCTTGCATTGCATAGCAGCTGTAAGAATAAGCTCGCTCAGGTCCAGAAGGTACAAATAATTGCCCGGGTCAGCAGCTCAAACTTTAATGGTATCCACTCCTACTTTTTTGCTACCTCTCCCTCAACTCACAACTATGGCTTCATAGTGAGTTCCCTCTGCCTACTTAATAGACGATGAAGAAAAATCAATCTATTGTTTACAGAAGGGTCATCAGATGGAAGTGTATGACCACTGCACTAAGTTCCATGCAGAAATGGGCCCAGAAGACAGTAGTGAAGGGAAAGCCTCCCAGTAGACAAATTTTAGCCAATCTAGTTGTCTGCTTTGCTTTGGAGGCAAGATGGCTTAGGGTATGGCTCTACATTGACTAATGGGTAATGGGTAATAGATTGTGTGGCTGGTCAGGAACTTTGGTCAAAGCCAGAAGACTGGTGACCAGGAAGTCTGGGAAAGAGGTATGTGGACAGAGGTCCCAGAATGGGCACCACATGAAGATACTCATGTATCATGCACATTCCCATCAGAGTCACCCACTGCAGAGGAGGCTTTCAATGATCAGGCTGATGAAATGATCAATTCCTCCTGTGAATGTCAGCCAGCTTGTTTTTCCCCTACCCAATCCTTCCTCAGTAGGTACCCGCCACTGGGGCTCATATGGATGCCATTACCATTGAGTTCCCAAACTGCTAAATACTAGAAATAACCAACATTGAATCCCTGACATTGCACCATCCACAGGAACCAGCCAGCCCCCTGGAAATAGGTTGATGCTAACTTTGTATCACTCCTTCATGAGGCGGCTATCAATTTGTCCTCTTAAGGATGGAGTCCTTTGGAGTAACTAACAGAATTTTATTATTAAAACAAACAAACAAAAGAAGAGTGGAGTCCTATTCCAGATACAGACTTGCTTTCCCTACTTGCACTGCTTCTGCCAGTCCCACTGTTTGAAGATTTCCAGAATGCCCTATTTATTGTCATGGTAACCCCTACAACATCATCTCCAACCAAGGAACTCATAATAACAAAAGACCTGTGGCACTGAGTTTATGCCCAGAGAATCCACTGGTCTTACGCTGTGCCTATCGCTCAGTTGCAACTGTGTGGGTGAATCTGGGAAATGGCCCACTGAAGGCTCAGTTATGGCACCGAGTGGAGGACAGAACCCTGTGAGGCTGGGGTGCTCCCCTAGACGATGTGGTAGATACTTTAAGCCAATGGCCAAAATATGGTGCTGTTTCCCCTATAGCCAGAATACATAGGTTCCTGTTCTTTGAGAGAGTATTCCTGGAGACTCAATTTATTTGTTCTGAGGGAGATGCTGGAGATTTGAAGAGAGTGGAGAAGGCAGGAAATAATCATTTAGGAGTAGAATGGCTGGGTCATATGGGAGACATGTCAAGAAGCTGCCAAGCCTTTTTCAGTATTTGCTCTGCCTTCCTGCCAGTGCTTGGGTTGGTCAGTCTTCTTGATTTTAACCAATGTAATGGGTGTGAGTTGGGTCCTTTTTTTTCAAAATTTTTTGTTGTAGTAAAATACAGATAACATAAAATTTATCATCTTAACCATGTCTTAAGACAAAGTCTTGCTCTATCTCCCAGACTGGGGTGCGGTGGTGCAATCATAGCTCACTACAACCTTGAACTCCTGGGGTCAAGGAATCCTCCCACCTCAGCCTCCTGAGTAGCTAGGACTACAGGCGTGTGCCACTGGGCTTGGCTAACTTTTAAAAATTTTTCTTAGAGACAGAGTGTCACTCTGTTGCCTAGGCTGGTGTCCAACTCCTGGCCCCAAGAGATTTTTCCACCTCGGCCTTCCAAAGTGCTGGGATTACAGGCATGAGCCATGGTAAGTGTTCTCTCTCAATCACTTTTTTTTTTCTTTTTTTGAGACAGAGTCTCGCTCTGTTGGCTAGGCTGGAGTGCAGTGGCACGATCTCGGCTCACTGCAACCTCCATCTCCCGGCCTAAGCAATTCTCCTGCCTCAGCCTCCCGAGTAGCTGGGATTACAGGTGTGTGTCACCATGCCCGGCTAATTTTTGTATTTTTAGTAGAGACGGGGTTTCACCATGTTGGCCAGGCTGATCTCGAACTCCTGATCTCAGGTAATCTGCCCACCTCGGCCTCCCAAAGTGCTGGGATTACAGGCGTGAGCCACCGCGCCCAGCCTCAGCCACTTTTAAGAGAGAACACATCTTGTTTTCACTCCATTGGAAGCTGAAGCCTCCTACTGGCCAGGTTGGGCTTCTCGTGCTGCTGAATCCATAGGTGTCAAAGGGGGTCACCATACTGCTCAGGTACCCAGTTACCAAGGGGAATTGGCTGCTGCTGTGGAATAGGGGTAAAGAGAGTTCTATCTGGACCAGAGCACTTGCTGGGGCGACTCATAGTTGTTCCTGTCCAATAGTGATGGTCAGTGGCCACAGTGGCAACCCCATAAAGATAGGGCTGCTAAGGGCCGGGCACGGTGACTCACGCCTGTAATCCCAGCACTTTGGGAAGCCGAGGCAGGTGGATCACGAGATCAGGAGATCAAGACTATCCTGGCTAACATGGCAAAACCCCATCTCTACTAAAAATACAAAAAATTAGCCAGGCGTGGTGGTGGGTGCCTGTAGTCCCAGCTACTCAGGAGGCTGAGGCAGGAGAATGGCGTGAACCCAGGAGGCAGAGCTTGCAGTGAGCCAAGATCGCACCACTGCACTCCAGCCTAGGCGACAGAGTGAGACTCCATATAAAAAAAAAAAAGACAGAGCTACTAAGAACTTGTATCTTGTGGGGATGAAGATTTGGGTCAACCAAGGAGGTAAAATCAGAGCAGCAGAGATGCTGCTTCCACCAGTGGGTGGAGGAAGGAAGCCAAAAGGATCAACATCAACTTAGGTCTTATGACCAGCAAGATAGAGCTTTTTTTTCCCTTCCCTTTTTTTCCTGTTACTTTATATGAAGAGCAGCCCTGGTCGCTAACATTATTGCTTTGGCTCCTATTGGGAGTATGATTGAACTGAAATCACCAATAATCCAGTGGCTGATGGGACTTTGTGTTTCCCCTGGGTGGGGGTCATGGGATTTATTCCTCTAAGCAAGGGACAGAAATGCTTTTTGTCCCTCCTGATCCATTCTCTATCCTTCTCCTGCTTCATTTATGCCCAAGCAAGCTGACCTCTACAGACTGCATTACCCCAGCTCTCTTATCTTCTGGCTTCTGGTTGGATTTGCCAATGCAGGCCCCAGCAGAAGACTGGAGGTGTGGAGGAAAGGTGAGTCATGGGATTTATCCTGATTTTGGCAGTGGCTGCATGTCCCCGTAGTTCCTATGACACACACCCTCTTCCATGGTCTCAACTCCAACATGGTTCTGATAGCACAGCCCTGCTCCTTGCCCCTTGGTCTCCCTTTGGTGCTGGGGTCTGGGTGCTTTACCATCATCGTTGGTTCCCTTAGCCCTGCCCACCTCTTGTTAAGGGGCCCTTCATTACTGCTCTTTAACTAAACCCTCTTTCTGTGCCACATCCTTCCTACCAGGAGTCTGACTGGTCCTGGGACCTTTAAGAATTCAGCTTTGCCAAAGCACAAAGTTCAAGGTAGGAAGAAATGGTAAGAAATGAAGTGTACAGGGCAGGCGCGGTGGCTCACGCCTGTAACCCCAGCATTTTGGGAGGCCGAGGTGGGTGGATCACGAGGTCAGGAGATCCAGACCATCCTGGCTAACACGGTGAAACCCCATCTCTACTAAAAATACAAAAACAAAATTAGCCAGGCATGGTGGTGGGCACCTGTAGTCCCAGCTACTCAGGAGGCTGAGGCAGGAGAATGGCGTGAACCCGGGAGGTGGAGCTTGCAGTGAGCCGAGATTGCGCCACTGCACTCCAGCCTGGGTGACAGAGCGAGACCCCATAAAAAAAGAAAGAAAGAAAGGAAGGAAGAAAAGAAGAAAGGAAGAAAGAAGGAAAGAAAGAAAGAAAGAAAGAAAGAAAAAAGAAAGGAAGGAAGAAAGGAAGAAAGGAAGAAAGAAGGAAAGAAAGAAAGAAAGAAAGAAGAAAGAAAAAAAAGGAAGGAAGTGTATAGGGAGAGTGATCAATTATAAGAAGCTTTGGATGCTGTGATAACGTCAGCTACAAGGCATTGGGCAAGTTACCTAACCTCCCTTACCCTCAGTGTCATCACCTATGGAATAAGGGCAATCATCAGACATGCCTTTTGGAGTGCCTATGAGGATCAACGTAAAGAACACACATAAAGCACTCAACACAGTGACAGCCACAGCCAGGGATCGACAAATGTGAGCTGATTATTGTTAGGGATGGTGGCTCACGGCAAGATTTTAAGCAAGGAAGTGATCAGGGCCAATTTAGTAGTTCAAGAAGTTACACTAGAGGAAATGTAGAGAAGCAGTGAGGTTTGTCAGAGGCCACATGAAGTGCAGCAAGACTAGAGGCAGGAATACCAGTAAGGAGACTACCACACCAGTCTTAGCAAAATAATAACAAATAAAATACAATTATGAGGATCACCCCAATAAGGAATTAAACTAAAAAAGAGGAAGACATGGAATACAAGAAACAAGAATTCTGACGCAACACCTGGGGCCTATAGATACTTGTGTTTTGCTGAAGCATCAAATGTGAGGCTGCCCCTCCCCCAGTTCCACCTTCCATTGACTGAGATCCAGGCAGAACCCTCCTACATCTCTCTCTCTGCCACCTCCCCCGTCTTAATTCCTGATCATTTGGCTTTTTATTTTTTTATTTTATTTTATTTATTTATTTATTTATTTTTGAGACAGAGTCTCACTCTGTTGCCCAGGCTGGAGTGCAGAGTCATGATCCTGGCTCACTGCAACCTCCGCCTCCCAGGTTCAAATGATTCTCCTGCCTCAGCCTCCCGAGTAGTTGGGATTATAGGCACACACCACCACACCCAGCTAATTTTTGTATTTTTAGTAGAGACAGGGTTTCATCATGCTAGCCAGGCTGGTCTTGAACTCCTGATCTCAAGTGATCTGCCCTCCTCAGCCTCCCAAAGTGCTGGGATTACAGACATGAGCCACCACACCTGGCCAATTCCTGATAATTTGAATGTCCATGTAGAGGATCCTTCCAGGACCCCAGCCTCTCAGTTCCTACCCTCCTCTCCTCCAATGAGCCTGCCCTTTATTCTCCCTTCGCATCTCATCTCCCTAGCCTTACCCTAGACCTCTTCATTACCAATGACTGCAGCCTTTCCACACCTAAATAACCATTCCACACCTGCTCTTCTCCTCAAACCTCCAAAATCTCCTCCCCTATCCTCACGCTCAGTTGATAATTTTGCTTCCTATTTCACTGAGGAAATAGCCATCAGAAGAGAACTTCCACATGCTCCCACAACTATGCCTCACACCTGCCTGTTTGGTGCCCATATAAAACTCCTTCCCCACGTTCTCTGCAAAGTCATCCCCAGAGACCCTGATTTCATGGGTCTGAGGTGTACTAATGGCGATTTTTTTTACAACTTGATTTTTTTCTCCAGGTGATTCTAACATACATCCAAAGTTGAAAACTGCTGCTATAGATGAATGACTCCTGCTTTGTCTCAGGCTTACTCAAGAAAACTGCCCCAACTGTTGTCTTCTCCCTCCCCCAGCATCATCAATGTTTCCCTCTACTGGCTCATTCCCATCAGCTCACAAACATGCTGTTAATTTCCCCACTTTAAAGAAACCTTTGCAACCCCATTTCTCCCTCCAACTCCTCTTCACAATAAAACTGCCCTAAAGGGCTCTCTCTAGTTGCTGTCTATAATTCCTCTTCTCCCCTTCTGGCTTTGCCCTACAGACCCATCGAAACTTTCACCAAGGTCAACAAATGACCTCCTCATTGCTACAGGCAACAGCCAAGTCTCAGTCTTCAACTTACTGGGCCACCAGCAACACGTGACATGGTCGATCACTCTTCTCCCTAGAACGCTTCCTCTAGAGTTGGTTTCTAAGATGCCACATTCTTCTTGTGGGTCCTTCTCAGCCTCCTTTCCTGGCTTTTCCCTGTATCTGACCTCTTAGTGTTGGAATGCCCTAGGACTCAGGCTTTGGGCCTCTTCTCTTTAAATGTTCATTCCCTTGGTGAGCTCACCCAGTCTCATGGTATAAACTACCAGCTAAATGTTGACTCCTAAAAGTGTATTTCCAGCTTAAGCTCCAGCCTCCTACATCCAAGTGCCAGCTTGACATCTCTTTTGGATGTCCAATAAGCATCTCAAACTTATCCTCCCAACCTTCCTCATGTGAGTAACAGCAGCCCCATGCTTCCAGCTGGGATCAGGCCACATCTTTAGGGCCATCCTACCTTCTGTCTTTCTTTCATACCCATGGGCAATCTGAGAGCAAATCCCACTGGCTCTACTTTGAAAATATACTCAGAATCGAACCTTTTATTCAAAACATACTCAGAATCCAGTCCATCTTATTCAAACCAGCCATTGCCTCCTACCTGAGTGATGGCACTGTCCTTCTAACTGGTCTCCCTGCCTTGAGTTAAGGGCCATAGACTGTGTCCCTCACAGTCTATGCTCAGTATGGCAGCAGACTGGCCCACTTACATGAATATCAGATCATGTCTATCCTTGCTCAAAATGCTACAGTGGCTTCCCATCTGATTCAGGGTGAAGGACAAAGTCTTTTTTTTTTTTTGAGATAGAGTCTTGCTCTGTCGCCCAGGCTGGAGTGCAGTGGCGCGATCTCGGCTCACTGCAAGCTCCACCTCCCGGGTTCATGCCATTCTCCTGCCTCAGCCTCCCCAGCAGCTGGGACTACAGGCGCCTGCCACCACGCTGGGCTAATTTTTTGTATATTTAGTAGAGACGGGGTTTCACCGTGTTAGCCAGGATGGTCTCGATCTCCTGATCTTGTGATCCACCCGCCTCGGCCTCCCAAAGTGCTGGGATTAGAGGCGTGAGCCACCGCACCCGGCCGGGACAAAGTCTTTAAATACCCACAGAAAGGCCTGTACAACCCATCCTCTTCACTGCCCCCTACACATCGAGGCCATTATCTCTCCGACCTCACAGTCCATCAGCCACATTGCTGTTCCTCTAACAGGCCCTGAAAATCAAGGGGCGTTGTACTTCGTTCCCCTCCAGCTCCCATCCTTCAGTTAAACTTCTTATGTGGGGATAATTATAGATTGACATGCATTTGTAAGAAATAATGCAGAGATGTGTATTTTTTGTCCAGTGTCCCCAGTGGTGACATCTTGCAAAACTATAGCACGGTATCACAAGGAGGAGAGTTGTGTTGGTTTCCTGTAGCTGCTGTAACAAATCACCACAAACTGGGTGGCTGAAAACAAGATAAAGCTACGCTCTCACACTTCTGGAGATCAGAAGCTCAAAGTCAAGGTATAGGCAGGGCTGTGCTTCCTCTGGAGACTCCAAATGGAATCCGTTCCTTGCCTCTTCTAGCATCTGGCAGCTGATCTAATCCTTCTTTCTGTGCTCTGCCTTCCCATCACCTTTTCCTGTGGGTCAGAGTGTGTGTGTGTGTGTGTGTGTGTGTGTGTGTGTGTGTGTGTGTGAGAGAGAGAGAGAGAGAAATCCCTAACAACACTGGTGATGCCATTTAGGGCCCACCCAGATAATCCAGGATAATCTCCTCTCCAGATCCTCAAGTTAATTATATCTGCAAAGACCTTTTTTCCAGATAAAGTAACATTTAGATGTTCTGGGCATTAGGATGTGGACATATTTTTGGGAGCCATTATCAGCCTGGCACAAGAGTGAAGATTCCGGACGTTTCCAGTCTAAGAGAGCTCCTTAGACTGCCCTCTCATAGCCACACCCAGTTCCCTCACACCCTGTCCCCTCCTTAACTCCTGGAAAGCATTAATCCGGTCTCCATCTCTCTAATTTTGCCATTTTAAGAGTGTTATATAAATGGAATGATTGAGTATGTAACATTTTGAGATTGGCTTTTTTTCACTCAAAATGGCTTTTTCACACTTTCAGTTAACTCAAAAAATTGAAATAATTTTTAAATGATTTGGAGGTTCCCCTGTGTAGCTGTGTTTTTTTTCTTTTTATTACTTAGTAGTATGCCGTGGTATGAGTGTGCAACAGTTTGTTTAACCATTTACCCGTTGAAGGAATTTAAGTTGTTTCCAATTTTGGCTATTAGGAATAAAGCTGCTCTGAACATTGGTATGTAGATTTTTGGGGGAACATGAGTTTTCCTTTTTCTGGGATAAATGCCCAAGAGTGCAATTGCTGGGTTAAGTGCATGTTTGGTTTTATAAGAAACTGCCTAACTGTTTTCCAGAGTGCTGTACCAATTTGCATTCCCACCAGCAATGTATGAGTGATTCAGTTTCTCCACATCCTCGCCAGCGTTTGCTGTTGTTACTGGTTTCTATTTTAGCCATTCTGAGAGGTGTGTAGTGTAACAGCTGCTGATGTTGAACATCTTTTCAAAGGCTTATTTGCCATCTGAAGGTCCTGTTTGGTGAAGGTCTATATGTGTTTTTTGCTCATTTTCTAATTGAGTTATCTGATTTTTTTCTAACCTCTGAGATTTAAAATTTCTTTATAGTCTAAATACTAGTTATTTGTTGATACGTAGCTTATACATATTTTCTCCTATTTGTGATTTTTATTTTCATCCTCTGTCACAGAGCAAAAGTCTTCACAAAACACAGGTTTTTTTTTATGAAATCCAATTTATCAGTTTTTCCTTTTATGGATTGGCCGTTTGGTGTCAAGTCTAAGAATTCTTCACTTGGCCCTTAGCCCAAGATCCCAAAGATTTTCTCTTATATTTTTTCTAAAAGTTTCATAGTTGGTTTTTTGTTTTAGTTCTTTTTTTTTTTTTTTTTTCAACAGGCTCTCGTTCTGTTGCTCAGGCTGAAGTGCAGTGGCATGATCATAGCTCACTACAGCCTTGAACTCCTGGGCTCAAGGGATCCTTCCACCTCAGACTCCCAAGCAGCTAGGACCACAGGTGCATGCCATGACCCCTGGCCAATTTTTTCTTAGAGATGTGGTCTTGCTCTGCTGCCCAGGCTGGTCTCAAACTCCTTAGCCTCCTGAAGTGCTGGGATTATAGGCGTGAGCCACCATGCTTGCCCTACAAGTTTTATAGCTTAATCTTCTACATTTGTGTCTGTGATCCATTTTGAGTTAATTTTTGTATAAGATGTGAAGGTTAGGTGTGAAGGTTAGGTGGAGTTTTTTTTTTTTTTTTTTTGCCTTTGGATGTCTGGCTGTTTCAACACCATTTATCGAAAGGCTATCTTTCCTCTATTGAATTACTTTGAACCTTTGTCAAAAGTCAGTTGGGCTTATTTGCATGGGTCTATTTCTGGGTTCTCTCTTCTGTTCCATTGATCTGTGTGTCCATCCCTTTGCTAATGCCACATTGTCTTATTACTGTAGCTATATAATAAGCCTTAACATGGGGTAGAGTGATTCCTCCCACTTTATTCTTCTGTTTTTAAAATATCTTGGGATTTTTAGTTCCTTTGCTTTCCATGTAAATTTTAAAATAATATTCTCTTTATCTACAAAAACTCTTGCAGGGATTTTGATAGGAATTGAATTAAACCTGTATATCAATTTTGGGAGAATTGACATCTTTACTATGTTGAATTTTCCAATCCATCAACTTGCTATGTCTCTCCATTTATTTAGGTTTTCCTTGACTTCTGTTACCAATGTTGTGTAGTTTTCAGCATGCAAGTGCTGTATGTGTTTTGTTAGATTTGCACTAAGTATTTCCACTTTATTAGACAATTGTCAATTATAGTGTATTTTCAATTTTAGTATCTACTTGGTCATTGTTAGTATACAGAAGTATAATTATAATAATTTTGTGTCCTTTATCCTTTTATTTTATTTTTTATTTTTATTTATTGATTTACTTTTTTGGAGACAGAGTCTCGCTCTATCACCCAGGCTGGAGTTCAGGGACACGATCTCGGCTCACTGCAACCTCCGCCTCCCAGTTTCAAGTGATTCTAGTACCTCAGTCTCCCGAGTGGCTGGGATTACAGGCGTCAGCCACTACGCCCAGCTAATTTTTGTATTTTTAGTAGAAACGGGGTTTCATCATATTGGCCAGGTTGGTCTCAAACTCCCGACCTCCGATGATCCTCCCGCCTCAGCCTCCCAAAGTGCTGGGATTGTAGGTGTGAACCACCGTGTTTGGACTCCTTTATCCTTTTATATCTTGTGGTCTTGCTGAACCTATTTATTAGTTCTAGAGGTTTTTTGTAGTCTTATTGGTGTTTTCTGTGTAGACAATCATATCATCTGCAAATTGGGACACTTTTATTTCTTCTCTATTATCTCTATGACTTTTATTTCCTTCTCTTGCCTTGCACTGGCTAGAACTTCCAGCAATATGTTGAAGAAGCATGGTGAAAGTAGACATCCTTGCCTTTCCTCGATTTTAGGGAGAAAGCATTCAGTCTTTCACTTGTCAACCTAGATAATAAACAGAGAGGGAGACTCGCTGAAAGAAAATGATATTTATTTGGGAATAGAGCACTGCAATGGGAATATGCATGCAATAGCAAATTATGTGCATATTCAGGGAAACAAAGGAAGCCTAAGGTTTTTTTGTTCTGTTTTGTTTTGTTTTGAGACGGAGTCTCGCTCTGCACCCAGGCTGGAGTGCAGTGGCGTGATCTCGGCTCACTGCAAGCTCCACCTTCTGGGTTCTCGCCATTCTCCTGCCTCAGCCTCCCAAGTAGCTGGGATTACAGGCACGTGCCACTATGCCAGGCTAATTTTTTGTATTTTTAGTAGAGACAGGGTTTCACCGTGTTAGCCAGGATGGTCTTGACCTCCTGACCTCGTGATCTGCCTGCCTCGGCCTCCCAAAGTGCTGGGATTACAGGCGTGAGCCACCGCGCCCGGCAAGAGTAAGGTTTTTAAAGGAAAAATGAAGAGAATTAACATAATTGTTTTGAGATAATTATCCTTGGCTACAAAAATCAATAACAAGGGTGGCCCCAATTTGAGATTGGACAGGCAGTTGGCAAGTGGATGTCCTCACAGAAGTATTTGTGTGTGTGTAAGTTTACAATGGCCTTTGTGCAAGGTTGTGGTTTCTGCAGTCTTTTGTGATAGTTCTTGTTATCAGGCATTGTGGGTGAGAAGTCTCCCTTAGTGGCCTTACCCGGCTCTGTTTGTCAGGGTTTTTAACACACATGACTCCATTTTGATTCTGATAACTTTCACACACCGGTAAGTGTGATATTAGCTCAAAGTGTTTTGTAGATGCCCTTTATCATGATGAGGAAGTTTCCCCCTTTTCCTATTTTTCTGAGAGTTTTTTTTATCATAAAGAGTTGCTGAATTTTTTTGAATGCTTTTCCTGCATTGCTCAATGTGGTGTGATTTTCCTTCTTCCATCTGTTAATATGGCAGATTACATTGGTTGATTTTTGAATATTGAACCAGCCTTGCATGACTGGAATGAACACCTCACATATTTTTCTTGGCTGTTGTCTATTTCTCCCATTTGATTATAAGTTCTGACTGGGCAGAAACTTTTGTTCATTTTGTTCAGTGCTGTATTCCAGTGCCTACAACAATGCTGGGCATATAGTGAGGACTCAATACTTATTTGCTAAATAAATAAATGAACAGAAGAGAGGTGAACGGAATCCCCAAGGCTATGGTGAAGGGAGACTCCAGGATGACAGCTGTGGGCAGCCAGTCTGATGGGAGATGATGATTGTGGAGGAGGCTGTGCCTATATGGCGGCAGAAGGTTTATGGAAATCTCTGTACTTTCTGCTTAATTTTGCTGTAAATCTAAAACTGCTCTGAAAAATAAAGTCTATTTTAAAAAAAAAAGCTGATCATTAACTCCAGGGAAAACAAAAGGGATCCAGGAAAAAAAAATACTCATAGTTTACTATCTGGCTCAGCCAGGGAGGGGAAGGTCCAGGTTGTGGGGCCGTAAGCTTATATGACTGGGGAGGGGACTATTTAAGAAAAGAAAAACACTAAATCAAAAATAAATCTGATTTAACCTCAGAGCAATTTCTGAACATTTTTTCTTATTATTATTTTTTTTTTTAGAAATAGGGTCTTGCTCTGTTGTCCAGCCTGGAGTACAGTGGCATGATCAAAGCTCACTGCAGTCTCGAACTCCTAGGCTCAAGAAAATTTTCTGGAATTTTTGACCTGATCTGTGGGGATATTTGAGGGACCATCAGGAATAGAGTGGGAGGTGCTGAAAGTCTTCCGGAAGCGGGCCCAAGAGCTCCAGGAGGTATGGCAGCCAGCCAGAGAGGTTAAGAGCTTTGCCTGCCGGTGCCCCATGGCCCAGGACAAGCCCACACCTCTGTGAGCATCTCAGAGCCTCCGCCTCAGCCATGCCCCTTGCTGGCCTTGTTTCCCACCCCAACACGCTGGTGGGTCCACAGGCACACTGCCCACTGTTCACACCCGTGACAGCAGCTCAGGCTGCTCCTCACAAGACAGGATCTCTCCTACCCTTCTTGCCTACCGGTAGTGACTCAACGGCCCCTCAACACTCAGCACCAAGGCTGCCTCTTCTGTGAAATGTCCCCACCCTCCAGCTCCCACTCCCTTCCCCAGAGGCTGCCAGTTGAGGGGGAAGAAGTCTGACACATGTGGATTTGAATCCCAGCTCTGCCACTTTCTGGTTATGTGGCCGCAAACATGTCACAGATCTCCCTGGGCTCTGTGTCCTGTCGTCTGTAAATGTGAATAATAATGTCCACCCTGCAGGGCCATTGGAAGATCAAACACTTGCCACAGAGCCCAACAGGTGGTGGGTGAATAAACACTCTTTCCATCCTTCTAGCATGTTTTCCCTTTTTTTTTTTTTCTTTGAGATGGAGTCTTACACTGTCGCCCAGGCTGGAGTGCAGTGGCACATGGCTGACCGCAACCTCCACCTCCCGGATTCAAGTGATTGTCCTGCCTCAGCCTCCCGAGTGGCTGGGATTACAGGCATGTGCCACCATGCCCCACTAATTTTTGTATTTTTAGTAGAGGAAGGGTTTCGCCATGTTGGCCGGGCTGGTTTCAAACGCCTGACCTCAGGTGATCTGCCCGCCTCAGCCTCCCACAGTGCTGGGATTACAGGCATGAACCACTGCGCCCAGCCTTCACTTATTATTTTTGTAAAACTTGGTAGAATACACATAACATACAATTTACCATCTTCACTGTTCTAAGTGTACAGATCAGTGGCACTGAAGAAATTCGCAGTGCTGTGCAGCCACCACTGCCATCTACCCACAGAATGCTCCTCATCCTGTGAAACTGAAGCTCGGTGTCCTCATTGCACTGTTACCCCCCCTCCCCCAGCCCCTGGCATGTCCCATTCTACCATCTCTCCTCTGGCATTTGGCCTGGCCTCTGTGACGGCACTAGCCCCTTCTAGCTGGTGTTGCCAGTTGTTTAGAAGTCTTAATTCCCCCGTAGGTCAAGTGGCATCTCATTCATCCTCACCCCTATTACCGAGGCACATGTTGATAATAGAGGTTTGAGAGGAAAAATGCAAAATGAATGAGAGAATGAGCAGAGAGAGGGTCACGTGTGGGTTCATGGTTAAAGGCACATAGCTGTGCGTCTGATTTTATGTAGCAGGTGCTCAGAATATATTGAAAGTCTAAATGATGATACGAGTGGTTTTTGTAAATGTTTAGTTATTTTTTGAATAGGTGAAATATTTGAAATTCAAAAATGTACAAAAGAATACACAGTGGAAAGTCAGTCTTCCCCCAACCCAGTCCTCCAGCCTCACTGGAGGCAACCACTCTGGCCAGTTTCTTCTGCATTTTTCTGGAGGAGTGTACACACACCACATGTGCACACACTCACACGTGTGCATGCACATGTTCACACAGCACATGCTCGCACACTCACATGTGGAAGCATGCTTTATGTACTGTTTGCACATCTTGCTTTTTCTCATTTGACAGATCTTTGGGATCCTTCTAAGATCAGTATATGGACAGTTTCCCCATTGTCTGATAGCATTCATTGAATGATAAATTTATCCTGTCACCATTTACAGCTGTCACAGGATTTATGTCATCTGTCACCTGTTGATGACCATGCAGGCCATTTCTGAATTCTTACTATACAAGCCGTGCTGCAGTGAGCAGCCTCGGACGCTCACGAATGACTGAATGACTGAATGCCTGAACGTGACCCCTAACCCTATAGCCCAGTCTAACCCCTGCCTGGTCTCCCTGGTCCCCAAAGCACCCCACCCTCCCAGGACTCCCACCTGCACCCACCACGGCTTGTGATCTTCCTCTTACTCCGTGCCAGGCACTGTGCTAGGCCCTAGAGTGTTCAGGCTGATGGGCCCCAGTCCTGTCCTCACAGAGGCACAGCTCAGAGGGAGAGATAAATGAGGAAAGAGATATTTAGAAATCAGGTTTGAGTGCTGGGATAGACCTGCCGCCCTAAATTTATGTCCCTCCCCTGACACCTGGGGAGGCACAGACTTATCCTTGATAACCTTATCCCCAGTCCAGGCTCTCAGGGCCAAGGAGGAGAAAGGGAGGCTATGGGGTGTGGGGCCAGGGTCAGAGGGGACCGAATGCCCATCTGGCTGCTCTGCCCTGCACCACCCGGGCCAGGCCTGTCTGTCTGATGTTGTCTGTGCCCATCGACTCCCCACTGTGTCTTGGCTGCCTGCTCTCCCTCTGGGCCCGCTCTGCCAATCCCTATGACAGGACCCTGCCACCTCACTGCCCTCCTCACTTTTGAAACTAACTACCTGTCTCATTGGAAGGGCTTTTCCACCCTTATTCTGTGAAGTTAATAGCTGGTGACAGTGGGAGGGGAAGGCAGCATTAAGGCCATTCAGATGGTGGGGAGAGGGCAGACACTGCCTATACACAGGTTATCCTCGGCCCAAGGGAGTGAAGCCAGCGCTGACCTCCGGGCACCAGGGTCTGGGTCCCAGGAAGCCTTTCAAGCTGCACCAAAACCCACCATTCAGAAGCTCTCAGCCTCTCCCAGTTCACTGGACAATGCTCTCCCCACTCAAAATACCCACCCCACCTCTCCCTTCCCTGCCACACCTGCTGTCCAAGCACTGCCTCCAGGTTTGTTTCCTGGGGTTATAAGACACTGCACCTCCAAAAACCCCTCGTTCAAAGGGAAATGTCCCCAGGAAGGACAGCAGGGACTCCTCCTTACCATGGACTCAGGCCCCTTCATGAAAACGGGTAGAAGAATCAGTTTTGATGAAGGGCATTAAGTAAGCAAATGTGGTTAAAATGTCCATAGCGGGTCCTTTGAGTAGCCAGAGGTGTAAGAGTGCCTGGGGTAAGGGTCCTGAAGGTAGGAACACAGGCGCGGGGGAAGGGGCGTGGGAAGGCTGAGAACGTCTTCCTTGGGCCAAGCCAGGGTCAGTTTCCCTCCTGTTTGATGTCAGCGTGTTTTAAAAGGGGAGTAAAAGCACAAATCGCAACAGCCAGATGATGGAAGCATCCCAAGTGTCCCACAGTAAATGAATGGATAAACAACGGTGCAGTGGCTCCAGCCTGTAAACCCAGCACTTCGGGAGGCCGAGCTGGGTGGATCGCCTGAGCTCAAGAGTTCGAGACCAGACTTGGCAACATGGCGAAAGCCCATCACTACAAAAAATACAAAAACTAGCCTGGTGTGGTGGTGTGCACCTGTAGTCCCACTACTTAGGAGGCTGAGGCTAGAGGATTGCTTTAGCCCAGGAGTCCAAGGCTGCAGTGAGCCTAGATCGTGCCACTGCACTCCAGCATGGGCGACAGAGTAAGATCCCATCTCTAATACAATAACAACAACAGGGGTGTATACACACAGTGGAATACATTTCGGCCTTAAAAAGGAAGAAAATCCTGACTCGTGTTACAACGTGGATGAACCTTGAAGACATTGTGTGAAGTGAAATAAGCCAGCCACAAAGGCATTATATGAGGTACATGGAGTAGTCAAATTTATGGACAGAAAGTAGAATGTGGTTGCCAGGGGACAGGAAGGGGGAAGGGGGAGTTGTTGTTAGATGGATACAGAGCTCCAGTTTGGGATGATGGAAAGAGTTCTGGAGACTGGTTGCACAACAATGTGAAATACTTTACAAAACCTAACATACGCTGCAAAATGGCTAAGATGGTAAATTTTACATTATGTTTATTTTATCACAATTAAAAATTTAAAACATGCCGGGTGTGGTGGTTCACACCTGTAATCCCAGCACTTTGGGAGGTCGAGGCGGGCAGATCACCTGAGGTCAGGAGTTCGAGACCAGCCTAGCCAACATGGTGAAACCCCGTCTCTACTAAAAATACAAAAATTAGCCAGGCATGGTGGCAGGTGCCCGTAATCCCAGCTACTTGGGAGGCTGAGGCAAGAGAATCTCTTGAACCCAGGAGGCAGAGGTTGCAGTGAGCCGAGATCGCGCCATCGCATTCCAGCCTGGGGGACGAGAGCAAGACTTCATCTCAAAAAAAAAAAATTAAAAGAATAAAACAGAAATATTTTCAGATGAAGGGAGGATAGGAAGATACCAGAAAGGGAAGGGGTGGAAAAGCTCTGTCTCTGCCTTGGGCCTGCCCATAACAGAGACAAACCCAGGCAGTGCAGAGCCCAGACCCCAAAATACCCCTAGTGTTGAAGGTGTGACCTGGCCTGGGGGAGAGGCTGGATATCGGCAGGGGCAGAGACGGGAACCTGAGGGAGAAGGACCTGACCTTGACCTCAGCCTCAGACCATGGGTCCCTGCTGCCTGCCTGCCTCCTACTGGGGGCCTACGAGGCCCACCTGGCCCCAAATGCTTGGCAGGCTCCCTGCCCGCTGGCTGCTTAGGGAGGTGCTCCCACTTCCCCCGCCGTTGCCTGAGCTCTCTAGGGCTCCTTCACTCTGCAGGTAGGCTGGGGTCCCCCTCTGTGCTGGGCACTGTGGTAGCTCAGCCGTGTGAGGCGGGGCCCTGGAAGAGCCCATGAGATGGCCAGAGCTGGGCTTGTCTGGCTGGAAGCTGGGAATAGGCTTCTCCAAGCTGCCAAATTTAAGTATTGAGTACATAAAAGGAGGAGATTGGCATTAGTGAGAACATGGCCCTGAGGCTTGATGGACCCAAAGCCTCCCAGGGTATGTGCGTTTTGAGGGGGTGGGGGGTGCACATGGGTGTCCGGGACCTCGTCTAGGTAATGTCTGCAGCCACATAGGATGATCTGACTGAATCTGTGTGAGGACAACCGTTTGTGTGCCTGTGTGTGCGCGCCCACGTGCATGCGCGTGTGTGGTCCTAGTGTAGGTGATGTCTGCGGCCACACAGGATGCTGACTGCGTGTGTGACTCGTGGGCGTGCAGATGCAAGCACAGGCCTACGACACATCTGTGTACAGGCTGAAGATCACAACGGGTCTGGCCAGGGCCCGCCGAGGGCCTCCGAGCTGGCGAGCACACCGACGGCTGGATGGGGCGACGCTTCCTGCTCCGGTCCCTAACTCATTATTAAGCTCCTCGCTCTTTGCAGACGCTCCCTGCGCCTCCCCCGCTCCGGGCTGCAGCGGCGCAGGCGCCGGGCCGAGCCGAGCGCCGAGCAGGGAGCGGGCGGCCGCGCTCCGGGCCGGGGTCCCGGGGGAGCAGGTGAGCGACCCGCGCCGCGCGGCCCCCACGGCCCTTGGCGAAGGCGCCTCCCGGCCGCGCTGCGCCGGCGCCCCCGCCTTCCCTGCCTGGCAGTCTCTGCTCGCCTCTGTTGGCATCCTCCTCCTCCTCCTCCCCCCTGCCTGGCATCCCCCTCCTCCCCCTGCCTGGCATCCCTTCTCCTCCCTGCCTGGCATCCCTTCTCCCCCTGCCTGGCTTCCCCCTCCTCCCCCTGCCTGGCTTCCCTTCTCCCACTGCCAGGCATCCCCCCTCCTTCTCCTGCCTGGCACCTTCTCCTCACCTGGCACTTCCCCTCCTCCCTACCTGGCATCCCCTTCTCCCTTCCTGGCATCTTCCTCCCCTCCTCCTTTCCAGGTATCTCCCCCCACTCCTGACTCTTTCCGTCCCCCCGCCTGGCACCTCCCTCCACCCCCACCCCAACCTCGTACCTCTTCCTCCTACCCCTTCCTTGCACCTCTTCCCTGACTGGCAGACTCCCATTCAGCCCCTCTGTGACA